>NT_187519.1:455829-607772 GCF_000001405.40 Homo sapiens
TTGGCTTCCGCTTGCTGTGTCTGTCTGTTTCCATAATGGTCCAGAATAGAAACCGGATGTTTAAAATCTCTCTCCTTTTCACATGCTCTCCTCCCCTCCTGTCTTCCTTCCTCTTCAGTATTAGTAGACTTACTATTTTTATTATTTTTTATTTATATTCCTAGTTTTCAATATTTGCCATTTGTGTGGATAACACATTAATTTTTAATGAAATATTTTCAGACTCTTGGAACTCTTGGAATAGCTGAATCATAAAAGAAAACTTGAAATTGATATAGACTCCAAGGCAGCACACAAACTGAAAATTACGCTTGTTTTTATTCTTCCCACTGACAAATGACAAATGGTTATTTGAAAGGATCATGTGTACTTAGATTTAAACTTCTTATGTTTCTATATGAGCCTAGTTTGTATAATTTTTGTGGCACAGAAGGTAATTCAGACACCATTTTAATTAATAATTAAAATGAAAGAAGCAGCAAAACAATATGTGAGGTAGTGAGCTCCAGTAATTTTCTTTTTATCTAGAAATACTTATTTTTGACAAGCCACATTGCTAGTAAAGGAATTCAAGTGTGATTTAGATTACGTCATAGGCTTAACTTTATTTTAGTTCTGTTGCGGCACTAAAGTTTTTTTGTTTGTTTGTTTGTTTTGTTTTTTTTTTTGGGATGGAGTCTCGCTCTGTTGCCCAGGCTGGAGTGCGGTGGTGTGATCTTGGCTCACTGCAACCTTCACCTCCCGGGTTCAAGTGAGTCTTCTACCTCAGCCCCCTGAGTAGCTGGGACTACAGGCACATGCTGCCATGCCCAGCTGATTTTTTCTATTTTAGCAGAGATGGGGTTTCACCATGTTGCCCAGGCTGGTCTCAGGCTGGTCTCAAACTCCTGAGCTCAGGCAGTCCGCCTGCCTCAGCCTCCCAAAATGCTAGGATTACAGGCGTGAGCCACTGCGCCTGGCCAGATCTAAAGATCTGAAAGAAAGTGGCATTTGTTTCTTTGGGTAATTTATTTCCACCAATCAATAATTGTTGTTAGTGAAATTAAAGTTAATACTGAATATTATTTAATTTTATACTGCATGGTATTCTCAGAAATGCAACTTTGTAATCCACTTTGGAACTGTAAATTAATAAGAATAGTTTCTTCTAAAAGTTTGTTTTTTGTTATAGATAGCATGGACATTTAAGATATAACATCTTTTAGATCTTTTCTTATTCTCAAATTATAAGGATATCAATTTCTATTTTATGTTGGCAACTTAAATCTTATTTTAATCATTTATATATGTGGTTACTTTTATATTTTCTTCTTTTAAATTAAAATTCCTAAAAAAGTCTACTTATCTCAAGTAAATTTACTTATTCTCACATTAATAACAAACATATTTTTCCAAATATTATTTTCTAATGTATTTCTAAAGACTAATAAATTTTTAAGGAGCTCTGCCTGTCTTATATGACCCGAGTTATGTAGAATGGCATTTTATAGAATCAGAAGAGGCCTGAAAGATTATCTAGTCCAACTTCACCTCTTGTCGTCTACTCCCACCCTCCATTCCCATCCCCATCCCCAGCACCACATTTTATAGATAAGAAAACGGAAGCCCAAAGAATACAAGTAATGACTCGAATCCGTTTTCTGACATCAGGTCTAGTGTTTTCTACTGTACCCACTCAATAACTTATATGCTTCCAGAAATAGGGAGGTGGACTAGTACTAATGATGAAAAGGAAAATATACAATGGACATAAATAATCAGATGTTTACCAGAAGCTATTTTGTCCAGTGACCTTGAGACCAGAAGTTGGATGGTTAATTGGAAGGTCAAAAAATACATGACAGGTGATGGATATGTGGGGCTGAGGCATATTTTTTGTGTGTAAGGATCACCTGATTTGGCATGCCATGTCATTTGCCCTGGATAAACAACACCCAAAATACATCTTTTATTGCACCCAATTTTGATTTCTCCAAACTAAGTGAGGACATAAAGACACTTGGGAAACAGCCTTCATGCAGAATTTGCTATTTTAATGGCCCTTGCCCACCAAATCTTTTACATTTATTTCAGGCACACCTAATTGGACAAACTTTTTGTGTTGGGGGGTGGAAATTCAGCTTTGTTGAATGCTTCTAAATCACTCCACTGCGTTTTCATAGAATCAGCAACTCTTTTTTTAACAATCATACTTCTGAATTCAGCAAACATGGAATTACGTTTATGTAAGCAGCACACACAGGCTTGGGAAGAAACATGGCTGACTTTAGGAAGTAGAGCACAACTGTTGGGAGCACAAGCGCCCATTTGTGCTGGTGAGTAGCAGTCATTGGCCATAGCACTGAGTGTGCCGTGGACATCATTCATGTGTTTGACAGAGGGAAAAGGAAAGGGTTAGTTGTTGGGTGATCAGGGTAAGTGGTGCTCCATTTAGAGAGCTTCTACTGTACTTTGGAAGGAACTACCTGAGTCAGACAAGTAAAGATGTATAACATAATAACTGGTTAAGAAGAATGTGCATTGCATTCTCCATGCACTATCTTTCCTCCTTCTTTTTTTAAGACAGGGTCTCACTGTCTTTCTTGCCCAGGCTAGAGTGCAGTGGCACTATCACTGCTTACTGTAGCCTCAACATCCTGGGATAAATTGATCCTTCCACCTCAGCCTCCCGAGTAGCTGGGACTACAGGCATGCACCACCATGCCGGCTAATTTTTGTATGTTTTATAGACACAAGGTCTCACTTTGTTGCCCAGGCTGGTCTCGAACTCCTGGGCTCAAGCCATCTGCCCACCTTGGCCTCCCATTGGGATTATAGGCATGAGCCACTGCACCTGACCAATTTTTTTCTTTGTGTCAGAGAAAGGCCAACTTGGAGGCAGAAGAAAGGGAACTTTATCTGTTTCCTTTCTGCTTTCTCTGTTCCTGGCTTAAGAACATCAGCCTCACCCCACCCAGAAGCTGGGCCAGTGGAGCTTTTATATACTGAGCAAACCATCCATAGCTACTTGGCAATAAAAGCATCGGCCACTGTTCAGCCTGGAGAATATACCTCATGTACAGGTTTTCAGGTGACCTGCTGCCCAGTTGGGGCTGCTTGGGGCTGCAGCCAGGCTTTCTCGGATGGGGACCTGATTGACTCCTTGCATAAAAGTCATGGAAGGACTACTTTCTTAGGAGACTGTATGGCTGAAAATACAAATAGCTTCAAATGGGTTTAGGAAACTCTTGGATTAAGAACCCATGCTTGGCCGGGCACGGTGTCTCACGCCTGTAATCCCAGCACTTTGGGAGGCTGAGGCGGGCAGATCACCTGAGTTCAGGAGTTCAAGACCAGCCTGGCCAACATGGCGAACCCCTGTCTCTACTAAAAATACAAAAATTAGCCAGGCACAGTGGCCGTGTCTGTAATCCCAGCTACTCCAGAGGCTGACAGGAGAGTCACTTGAATTCAGGAGGCAGAGGTTGCAGTGAGCCGAGATCGCGCCACGGCACTCCAGCCTGGGTGACAGAACAAGACTTCGTCTCAAAAAAAAAAAAAAAAAAAAAAAAAAAACCATGCCTCATTCTTAAAAGGCATTATGAATGTATTAAGTCTCATCGCTAAATGAGGAATGAACAAATCAATAGGTAATGAACAACTATTCTCTCTCTAAATTGGGTGAATATAATCCTTCCACTTTTCCTTTTATTTTGGGGGAGGAAGGGGATCTGAGCATCCATTCTATTTTTCTTCCTTAATTAGGTCTTAGTATCTATCAAGATGGTGATTATAGTGTGTGTGTGCCTGCGCACGCACACACACACTATCTTACATAACTGCCTGTTTACTCCTTTGCTACACTGTGACTCAAAGGGGTGGGGCAGCACTTTTGCAAATGTGTTTTACAGACAATCCGTCCTTCACAGATAGTCTTTGAAAAAAAGGTTTGCATGATATCTTAGTTTTGGAACATACTGCATAAACTATGTACTTTTTAGAGAGTCAGAATGTACATTAGGATATTAAAAGCATTGATAAGTCTTCAGAATTATTAACCATTTTTAAAATTTAAGTTATAGTTCAAATAATATAAATAAAAATATTTGTAAACATTTAAAACTTTACAAAGAAGGGTAAGGGGATATGGTGTGAAGAGCTACAAACTTCCCTGTGGGGTGGTTCTTGGAGACATGTCACCAAACTAAGCATGTAAATGGCTTCCTGTGGCATTTCTTAGAGGAGCTAAATAGTTTCTGCGTGGCTTTGTGATCATCTTTCACCCTTCCTGTCCCAACCGTGGCTTTTATTTTGGCTTTATTTCCCTTATAGCATAGTGTGCAGCAGGATTCCCGAGTCCTTGCTTCCTAACTCATGGGTTGGGAGAGCTGCTCATGGCTGTAGCTGCTGCAGGCACCCGCATTGCTGAACAATGGGAGGTGTCATCCACAGGTGAAGCTTGAGGTGTGGTTCATCCAGGCTTCTGGGACCTTGTCAAGGCATAGATTTAGACAGAAACAGGTCCTCCAGGGCTTGGTTATGTCCATTACTAAATCTGGCTGTAGCAAACAAGGAGAGTAAACATCTTTTCTTTATAGTTCATGAGCTCTGAAAAGGGATTTTCTGTTGTTCCGTTCTTCTCAGGAATCTAGAATCAAGTGTGAATAAAAGTAGAGAGGTGGTTGGTGTTTGTTCATGTATTTATTTTATTTATAGTTCTTTCACTCTACATACATACATTCTTCAGATATGTATTGTGTTCTAACAATGGTAACAGGGGCCTGTGGTAGGCTTTGGGGTTGAAAAGATGTGTAAGACTTAACCCTTGTCTCTCAGAATTCACAGTCCGGGTGCTCGTGCCTGAAAGACCTTTTCCTCCCCTGCCTAGAGACCTCTTATTTCCCAAGACACAGGTCAGCCATCATCTCCAGTACAGGCTTCCTTAATGCCACTCTCTGTGTTACTCAGCACTTCGTTCAGACAGCAGTTTGCTCAAATGTACAGGACATTATAATTATTCTTTGACTGTCCAACTTGTTTAGACTGTGACTCCTTAAGGACAGAAACCATACTCTGGTCATCTTTGTATCTCTTGCCTATAGTTCAGATCCTGGCCCTTAGAAGGCATTTACTAAATGAATTTGTAGTCCTTTTTATCTTCTTTTTAAAAATCATCATATTTTATCATCCTTTTTATCTCCTAAAATTGTAGAAGGGTAAAAATGAGACAAAAGCAGAACTTGATGTGTATGTGCAACATTTAAAAAATATTTTATAACCTCTCATGTATATCTTCATGTTTGGAAAACCTACTCACTATATGTGTGTCTAATTACTATTATGAAGTAATAAAAATCTATAGTTTTATTGTATAATGATGCACATCCAGTGGACACTCAGTAAGTGTTAATCACACTATTAAATATGCTTTGATCTCATTATAACTGGAGTGGCTGCCTGGCTCTACTTAGGCTATTTAACAACTCATTGTGTTATTAGTTGATCCTTATTTTTCAAGGTTTGTAGGTCATGCTTAATGGAGCGACTTGCTAAGGTTGTTAGCAGTTACATAAATGACTCTGACTTTACAAATTTTATGATAACCATTTGGAATGAATTATATATTTTCCAAGCTTTTGGTTCCCCCAGTGGCTGATACATTAAAGAATAATTGGTAAGTTGCAAAATTTGTGACAGTTTTGTTTTTAAAAAATCAGCTAAATTTGGCTTTTTACATATTGCTAGTGATTTCTGTATCATAGATGAAGGAGATAGCATAGACTTGAGGCTGGGAAACACGTTTCTTCTTTCACATAGCCAGGCAGAACAGCCCTTGGAAGACGATCCTTGGAAACACATTATCATTTCTTGTTCAAACCAAATATACTTAACTTCTGTATCTCTTCCACTTTAAAATCATTATTTTTGTGACCGACGTCTGGAAGTGCCCCAGTTTTTCCACATGGCCCTTAACACATAGTGTTAGTGTTGCATTTCGTAGTTCTCATTTTGAATTATGCCTCTGTGTTCACTAGCAGGGTTACCTCCTGTTAGGCCCGACTGGACCATGGAGTCCTGGGCTCCTTTTGGCCTTTTGCCTAGAGTAGGGAGGCCTCAGTGACTGCAAATGTGGCAACTCGGGCAGTCCCTTGGCCCTTTCCCCTTAGGTCCACACTCCCATCTTGGGATTCTGTCTTTTCCACTTCAATAAATGGCTCCAAGGAAGAGCTTGAAAACGTATTTGGATCTGATTGCCAAATTTCTCACCAGAACTATTCTTTCAGGGTGGGATTTTTGAGGTTGGGTAGGGGCAGGGTTAAAAACATGAGCTTTCTCTAGAGGCCAACATTCCCTGATTCTAGGCAGTTAGTCAGACCTTGTTCCTATGGTAGACGTCTCTGTTTTCCAGCACTTAGAGCACTGTATTCATGGCCTTCGATGTCCTTCTCTCCTCATTAGATTGTGAGGTCTTCAATGTGAACCATGTGTTATCAATCTCTGAAGTCCCAGTGTATGGAAGTGTATTGAATTAATGAATGATTCTCTAGGAACTGACATTGTTTTCATTTAAAAGTTGTTAGGTAATGGTTAGGATTAATATAGGCTGATTCCATATGTGTCCTCAGTTCTTTCCACCACACCATTAGGGTTTGAACTCCCCTGGCTTCATTAGCTATTTTGCAACTCCTTTAAGCTGCTGTATAGTTTGGTTCATTTGAAACAGAAAACCAGCGAAAAATACAAAGGTGATTGAATACCTATTACATGATAGGAATTCTGCAGACCTTGGAGATATGGAAGATAAATCAATCACTGACTTCCAGGGATTCTTGTCTCGTGGGAAAGCATGTATTCTAGCGTTGCTAGCCCCTGTTTTAGTAGAGATATGAGTGGACAGCATAGGGTATGTATAACCTGTTTATTTTTGTTTGTTTGTTTTGTTATATAACCTGGTTTTGTTTGTTTGTTTGTTTTGAGACAGAGTCTTGCTCTGTTGCCCAGGCTGGGAGTACAGTGGTGCCATCTCAGCTCACTGCAACCTCTGCCTCTCGGGTTCAAGCAATTCTGCTGCCTCAGCCTCCCAAGTAGCTGGGATTATAGGTGTGCGCCACCACGCCCGGCTAATATTTGTATTTTTAGTAGAGACGGGGTTTCACCATGTTGGCCAGGCTGGTCTTGAACTCCTGACCTCAGGTGATCCTTCCGCCTCGGCCTCCCAAAATCCTGGGATTACAGGCGTTAGGATTAATATAGCATTTAATTCTAAAATGCTGCTAAAATCACTTGTTGAAAAAGAAGTGTTTATTGATATGACAAAATGTTCAAAATATATCCCCTAAGGGGAAATAGGGTAAAAGTAGTATACATTATTTCATCTTTTGCATACACAGAAGGTATATAGTTATAGATCTATAGATGGATATGTACTGCAAATGTCACATCTTCTTCATACTCTAGCTTGTGTATCTCACACATGTAGACTCAAATTTTGCCCCATGTCAGTTTGTACATAGAGCTCAGCATCTCCTTGAGTTTCCCTAAAGATTTCATAGGCACAAATGTACTGCTGATCAGCATGGATTTTACTGAAGATATTGTAAGATGGAAAACATTCATGCCATACCTCCCTTAGAAACAACATAACAATCTCCATTAATACTTAGTTCTCCCCTCCATAATCCTTTCCTGGGTGCATTCCCAACTTGGAACTTTTTTTTGTCCTATCTCCCGCTTTCCTTAACCCTATAACTTTCTAATTCTTTGCCTTCTCATATTTCTAGGAGCCAAACATTCTTCACCCCCTTCTATTATGCAGAACCATCCAGTTCTGCCACAACTCTTGTCTTAAATGGACATATTCAGAGTAGCCTGCTTCTTGAGTAAGCACACATTGTACACACATGCATACAGACACTTACGTATATATACTAAAGGAAATTTAAGCCAGGCCCGATGGCTCATGCCTGTAATCCCAGCACTTTGGAGGCCAAGTTGGGTGGCTCACTTGAGCTCACAAGTTCGAGATCAGCCTAGACAACATAGAGAAACCCCGTCTCTACAAAAAAAGAAATACAAAAACCAGCCAGGCTTGGTGGTGCGTGCCTGTAATCCCAGCTACTCAGAAGGCTGAGGTGGGAGGATCGTTTGAGCCCAGGAGGCAGAGGTTGCCGTGAGCTGAGATCACGCCACTGCACTCCAGCCTGGGCAGTAGAGCCAGACTTTGTCTCAAAAAATAAAATAAAAAGTTGATTGCGGCCTGCTAAAGTAATTTTGTGACCCACTAAAGGGTCATGACCCACAGTTAAAAAACCCTTCCATCAAAGGCCCTTTGACAACCACACAGCTGCTGAATAAAATTGTGTCCCTCTTGTTACATCTCGTTACACCTGCGTGTGCATGCTCAGGCGTTTCCATGTGTGTGCACACACAGACAGACAGTAGGCCACACACCAGAAAGGAATATAGTAGTGCTCTCTGGGATTACTGGTGTGCCTTCTTCCACTGCACTTTCTGGCCATTTCTAAGTTTTCTGCACTAAGCATGTGTTAGTTGTGTAAAAGGAAATGCAAACAGTAACAGGCTCAGCTGGGGTTTTTCGTCTTCCCCTTTTTGTTACCTCCCCTAGTAACCCTTGCAAACAGAGTTAGACTCCTCTATCTCTTTCTCTGTCATACCTTTTTGACTTCTCCCTACCCTTGAGATGATCTCATCTCTTTTTTTTTTTTTTTTTTTTTTTTTTGGGACAGTATCTGGCTCTGTTACCCAAGCTGGAGTGCAGTGGTGCAGTCACAGCTTACTGCAGCCTCGAACTCCTGGCCTGTAGGGATCCTCCTCCCTCAGCTTTTTGAGTAGCTGAGACTGTTAAGTGTGCACTATCACACCTGGCTATATATATATGTATATATTTTAGAAATGGGGTCCCACTGTGTTGCCCAGGTTGGTTTTGAACTCCTAGACTCAAGTGATCCTCCTGCCTCACCCTTCCAAAGTGCTGGGATTATAGGTGTGAACCACCGTGCCCAGCCTGCAATGAGATTCTTACACTGAAATGCATAGATGGGCTGTGAACCTTCATAAAATTTATATAAAACTTAATGTTTACTTATTTCTTTTCTGAGAAGCAGATCCAATTATTCTGTGAGGGCTTCTGTTGTGCCAGGCAAGGTTCTAGGTCTGATCCTTTAGCAGCCTCTCAAAACGTTGAAGAACTGAGTGACTCTTCTTACTCTGTTGTTTTCCTTCTCTGAACTGTGAGTGCCACGAGGCAAGGACTTCATCCGTCTTGTTCATCACTGATTTCCTGCTGCCTAGAACAGTGCCTGGAACATAGTAGGCACTCAAAAAGTGTAGTGTTCTGAATGATTAGGCATTGTGAAGTAGAAAATACATTTATCTTATGACTCTCCTTTTCCGGAGTTGATGAGATATCATGATGTTATTGGAGGGTGCAGGAGGTGATCAACAGTATTCTAGGACTTTGGGAATTCAGACTGGGGATCACAAAATTTGGAGCAGGTTTCGCTTGGCACTCAGGTGGGCATCTGTCTCCATCCCACCGGCTGTACTCTGCAGTGGCTGGTAAATTACACTCTTCTTGGTGGGCTTGAGGCCCCAGCCCAAGACTGCAGGGTCAATGCAACATAAAAGTCCAGGTCTCCTGACTCGGAGTACAGACTATGGCAGCACTCCTGAGCTTGACTTTCCCTGGGCTTCATTTAATATGGTTCATTTTGTTTTTGAAGGTAGTTTGTGCCATAGAAACCAGACAGGGTGTTGTTTAAATAGTAGGCTGATGTCTCAATGTAACATATTGGCCCACTGAGCTCTACAAGAGTGTGAATCACAAACCCGCCTCTGTACATTTCTGATACAGTGTGAATGTTCTGGATGTAAGAAAATCCTGTTAAGAATGATCAGGTTATCTCATTTTGCCATCAATCGTATTTTGAAATGTTCGGTTGATAGAATAACTGCTCTTCCTGGCTAAATAGATTCTCTCAACTCCAGCAAAATATTTTTAAAATCAGGTAATTCAGCCAGTAATCCAAATTTTATTTGGTTTATTTTCTTCAGACTGTATATATAATACCAGGACTGAGTGTTTAAAGTTCAGCTCAGTGTGTAGTATTCCTGTGATAATTTCAGCACATAAAATAAGATGTTTACAAAAGCCAACCTGAGACCTATATTCTCCAGCAGTTTAGCAGCAAATTCCTACTCTGGGTATATAACAATAATTGGGATCTTTCTATTGGCTTTACATAAACTCAGATTAGTAGTAAAATCTAAGTACCATCCCATTTGGCAAACTCTTAACTTCAAGCAGTCACAAATTTGCTTCTGATTGTGCTTTTCATTCGCACCTAGCTCAGATTTTTGCCTGATGCTTTTTTAAATCCTCTAATTTACATACTGTGGTAAATTTAAAATGAGAACAGATGAATGCTGCTAAACTTTTCTATTTCACTGATGAATATGGTATTTTGCTTTAACTATCTAGCTGTTATATATTCAATGACCTTTAAAACATGAAAAAGATACTTCTTTTCATATATACCGTGCAAGATGAATTATTAGTATTGTCTTCCTTTGAAACTATGAAACTGAGACACAGAGGCCAAGCAGAGCATCTGGGAACTGATTTCCACAGGCCTAAAATCAGAGTTTCCTCTTCCCGGGACTCATACCCCTTCAGCCAGGCAGAGAGGCCTGGTTCGCTCACGTTTGGTTATCTTGGAACTGTGGGAGGTAATGCATCCACTCGGAATGCACTTCTTTCCTTACCCCACAGCCCCCGTGCACCACAGCCTACATCACTGTACCCGTTTGGGCATGTCGGAACAAGCACGAGTAAGGGAAGAGGTCGCCGTTTTTGAGTGGCTAATAGGAATCTGCTCCAGCTAAGCATATGTTATCTCACATATTGTGGTTAATAATAATAATAACCGTGTTCTCCAAAGGAGCCAAAGGAGAGTTGGAGAAGTTACATTATTCAACAACTGAGATGTCTAAAGCCTGTGCTCCTGTACTATCTTCTGTTTGTCCCTGTTATCTTGTTTAGTGAGCAGCATAGCATTTTGCAAGAGTGGACCGTTCACCTGGTCAGGATTTCAGTCAGCATGACAGATGCACCCTCCACTGTGGTCGGTGTCTGGGGTAACCAGAGAAAACTTCCCAGATACGGTAGAAATAAACTTCCCAGATACGGTGGGAATAAGCTTCCCAGATACGGTGGAAATAAACTGCTTGACAAAATGAATAGATCCACCATGACGTAATTTTCTAACTGTTCATTTGTTTTCAATAACCAAAAGCAATATTAATTTTGAAATTATATACACTACTTATGATTAAAATGCTGTAATTCATAAGACAAGGAAAATCTAGGGCACATTTTAAAAGAAAAGTTTAATTTTGAAAGGAGGAAATCTATTTCAGAATGAAGAAATGAAAACTTTTGAAAGCTTTAACAAAAAATTCCTAGGGAATTTTGAAGTTTTATTTTGCCCTAACATGAAAAAGTAGGCCAGTTGCTAAACGTTAATTGCTTTACTTCCATCTATCTTTATTTTTGTTTTTATTTTTTGAGATGGAATCTCGCTGTGTTGCCCAGGCTAGGGTGCAGTGGTGCTATGTCAGCTCACTGCAACCTCCATCTCCTGGGTTCAAGCAATTCTCCTGCCTCAGCCTCCCAAGTAGCTGGGATTACAGGTGTCGGCTACCATGCCCAACTAATTTTTGTATTTTTAATAGAGTTGGGTTTCACCATGTTGGCCAGGCTGGTCTCGATCTCCTCACCCCAAGTGATCTGCCTGCCTTGGCCTCCCAAAGTGCAGGGATTACAGGCGAGAGCCACCGCACCTAGCCTATTTCCATCTATCTTGATCACACTTGATCATGTTGAGAGACTAGAGGCTCTGAAATTTAATAAATGACCTAATTCAAAATATCTTACTCCAAATCCAGCTTGATAGAAAGCCAAACTGTTGTCAGTATATCTCACTTTAAGCAAACCCAACATATTAAATCCATATTTACAAAATGGATTAGTTAAGTAGTCATTCTTCACTTAGCAACATAATTCATTATAGTAAGTTCCCCTTGTAATGCATATAAACGTGATTTACTTTATTAGAACCCTCTGTGTGTGCCACATTTCAAGTGCAAAGTACATTTGATAATGTTACTCAACAAATTATTTTCTCATTTGTCCAAATATTTGGTTGGGCATCGCTGTGGCCCCTAAGGAAACAAACAAGTGGGTCAGAATGGCCTCTGGACCGAAGGGATGCGTGTTGCAGGAGCAAGGACTGTTGGCGTGGGCTGATCGCTGGTCTACAGGCTGTGGGAGCTCAGAGCATGGACCCAGTCAGTTCAGTCTCCATCATCCTAGTTTTCTGGATCTTCCAACTCCTTATTCATCGAATGAACCGGGAGCATGCAGAATTTATCTTGGTGGAAAGCCTTTCTCCTCAGTTTTCTCTCCCTGTTTTGGTTTACTGAACAGGAAAGCCTGACATAATTAGGTCTGAGAAGAGTCATCGGGTTCTGCTCTCATCCTTGAGCCTGCCCTGGTTGGTAGGGAAATTCACTTATTAATTCTGTGGCTGGCTTTGGGTCATGCAGATGACCCAGGGTCACTGGGCTTTTCAGGTTATCAAAAGCTAAATGACGTGGGACACTTCTGGGGATTAGTTTAACGAAGCTGTACAAATATAGTCAGATGACAAATTTGGAGATGTAGTGGCAGAGTAAATAGTATTTTTAAAAAATGCATGCCTCTGAATGTAATAGTAAACCTGTATGAGAGGCTCTGCTTAGAGAGAAATTAGAGTGAGCTATTAGCTGTGCCTATATGTTTATTTTCATATAAATACATCAAGAAAGCTAGATTTTTTGCTTTTATTTTTATACCAATATGCCTAGGTTAAAGTGGGTCATTCCCAGCATTTAAAAAGGGGGTAGAGGGAGGGCAATTGGCTTGGTTTTGGTAAAGGGGTAGGGGATTATTTTTTATTTTATTGTATTTAGGGGGCAATCTTCCATCTTTATCTCTTCGTTCTTGTGCTTTTCCTGGACCATGTATTCTGATCATATTTAACTTTCTATTGTAGAATTGGGATGGAAGACCTAGAGTTCAGCTTGAAAATCTTTTGGTAGATGCTATATCTTTAATAAATGTTAAATACAGGCATCACACTTTTAAAGAACATTTGTTTTTAAGGGTCTTTGTGCATTCATCTGAGGAAAAAGCAACCAAATCTGTTTTATTCAAATTCCAAATTCTAGGGGAGCAGATTGTCACAGAATATACAGTGATGAACTTCCAAAAAGGAAAATGGGCGGAAGACTCGTAGGTATTTATCACGCATGCTAGAAACATTAATGCTTTCTGAGGAATCAACAGATCTTTGATTCTCTTTTGGTTGAGTGCACCTTATTTTGTAAAAAAATAATTTATTGATTATTTCATATTTTTTTCTTTAAGGAAAAATCTTATAAATATTCATATTCAGAATAGCATGTGTCTATTCTGTTGATCCTGAAGCCATAAAAGAAGTTTCATTCTCAGTGTCATGTCAACAATGAAAATTATCACAAAACCAAAAATAATTCATGTAAATGTCCGCATTGTTTAATCATCGGTTTTAGATCCAAAGCATCATTCTTTCTGTTTAAAGTGGTCATTCAGAACCGAATATTTTAAATGACTTATAGGAGCCCTGTAGAAAATGTACAGAAAGAATTCACCGTTTAAGTAAAAATATATTTGCTTTGCTTGGCCTGTCAGTTTCCATATTTGCAGTGGCTTCCCATTATTGACTAGCATCATGCATTGAGGATTAGGTTGTCAAATGCGGTGTATTTACTTTTGAACTTCTCTGCTGGTAACAGTCGGTGCATACGTGACATTTGTAATGCTGATGGTTGATTTCAAAGTATAGTATCTAAGTCCAATTTTTCATGCATTTTATGAAGCTTTTGTCCTTAACACTTTGATTTAAGTCGCTCAAAATTCATTCTTAAAAGAGAGATCATTTCGATGTTTACATAATTGCAACCTCAAGCGTACTTTGCAAATTTCAGCTGGCACTCTCCAATCCCTCTGTTAAGTGGTTATCAAGGGTGGTTATTACCATTTACAATATGAGGAAACCAGGAGACAGGGATTTTATTGACTTATACTGTGAGGCAGCATTGCTGCTAGTCTGTTAATATGTGTTTTCGTCTCTTTTCTAAACAGATTTTAAAATTTGGCTATAATATGTTAGGCATCACTCTCTGGCAGAAATATAATTGTCAGGTGTGCTGGTATGGATAGAGGTCCTGCAGAAACCTTCAGGACCCATCCCAAAATGACGAAGACACAAGATACAGTTCTGTCCTCATCTTGACTTTTGTGTGGGTCAGAGTGAGTTACTAATTTTAGAAGTGTTCTCGTGAAGACATCTGACTACTCAGCACACACAATCTTAAGGTCTTTGCTGTAAGAAGCTCAACCATCCTTTAGCCTCCCTGGCCAGGGACCCTGGCCTCTGCTTTTGTGTTTCAAGAATTCTTGGTTCTGGCCCTGTCCTTGATTCCCTAATTTCCACAGTTTGACAGCACCGAATGTTGTGTTAAGCTTCTTGCTACCATGTAAAAATTTCCTGACACCTCTTGCAATAATAATTGTTATTATATAATATATAATTATGTAAGATATAATAAATATATAATAATCGTCATTGTAATTCTCATCACTGTAGTAGCAGCAGCTAACTTTAGAGCGTGCTTGCTATGTACCAGCTCCTCTTCTAAGCACTTACCTTTTAAACCCACTGAATTTTCATAACCACCACATGAAGCGAGTACTAGCAATATCCCCATTTTAACAATGAGGAAACTGAGGCACAGTGAGGTTGAGTAACAGGCTGAAGGTCACACAGCTACTATGTGATAGATGCCAAACGTGAACCTGGGCAGTGTGGCTGCCAATTCTGGGAAGAAGGGATGCTGATTTGAAGAATCTTAGCAATATTTTAGCTCCCATAATAGTAAAAATTTTTAGAAGCGCTTCCTGTGATTCCAGTCAGATATGGCATTGTTTTATATTCCCATTGTCAGTGATCTCTAAACGGCATTCCTGCCACTAAACTGCCACTGTTTTCCTACAAGGGACGTCTGATCAGTTTCTGAATTGAGTCCCAAGATACGTGCCTTAAGCTATTGCATGAATATCTCTATGTGGGAAATTCTTGTGTTCTGATAGATGGAGAAAAATGTGGTGGAGATAGTAAAATATTACCAGTTTCAAATGTGTTTATGTTACCTTAAATTTGAGGCAGACTATGGAGAGTGAGAAGAAAAAGCAGAGGGGCAATAATCTGAAATAAAAGAGTGACAGAAAGGACAATTTGGTAAAGCCTTTCCTTCCCATAATGAAAAAAGTAGTCCCTAGTTATTGACAATTCACTCAGACATTACTGTACTTTACAATAGTCTTTACAATAGTCTTTCAAGGTTTCTTCCAATTTATGATTGAGGAAGTGGAGGCTCGGAGGGAGGAAGTGTGGCCACAGCTGCACAGTCCTAGGAGGGAAAGCTAGAATTTAAATAGGTTTGCCTGACTCGAAAGCTTGTGCTCTCACTGAAAGTTCATAGTATCTTTCTGCCTCTAAAGAGAAGATGGTCCTGTTGAACCTGGAAAATCAGTGGCTAACATGGGGCTTTTCAAGACTCAATAAGGTGGAGGAGGCCAGAGGTTCAGCACGTTCTGCCAGAAACAAGTCACTGAAGAACGGAGGTGTATTACAGAAAGGCTTGGGGGGTGGGGGGTGGAAATAATTGTACCTAAAATGAAAGAAAACACAACCTTTTGGAAGAGTGGGAATGGAAGGTGATACTAAAATATTTAGAAAGCTAATAAGTTTTTGTTTTTTAAGAGACAGGGTTTAACTCTGTTGTGCAGGTTGGAGTGCAGTGGCACAATCATAGCTCGTGGCAGCCTTAACTCCTGTGCTGAAGTGATCCTCCCACGTCAGCCTCTTGAGTAGCTGGGACTACAGGCGTACCAACACCCTCAGCTGATATTTTTATTTTTTCTGGTGATGAGGTCTCACTACATTGCCCAGGCTGGTCTTGAACTCCTGGCCTCAAGTGATCCTCCTGCCCAGGCCTCGAGAAGCTAGTAAGTTTCTAATCAGTTTGCACGTGCTTCTGAGTATGCTAATGCTTTTTTTTATTACCACTCAATGGTAATAAATGGTGACGTGGTAATTCCAAGCTGTTTAGGAAAATTTGTACTACCAAATGTCACTGTCACTCAAGGGATTATTGCATATAGGTCTTATTTTGTTTGTTCTTTTTTAAGGCTTTCTCTGCCTTTCTCCCTTCTGTTACCATGGCAATATTAATGTTATTGATCTGAGTGGAACATGATGTTATTCACCAGTGTGACATACATTAGATTTGTAAAGAATCTATTTATTAGAACAATTTATCAGGTGTTAATAATGCTCATACATTATATTATTTTTTGGTCACCCAATATAGAAGCCTCTATTGAGATAAAGAGGCATGATTTTTTTTTTCACAAAATGGATGATTTCTTATTTTAAACACAAAGTGTGTGTAGCGAGCACTACTTTCTCTAGGAGGATCTCCGGGAGGATTCTGGTGGCATGTTGGTCAGCCTTCCCTGAGGCGACCCGCAGGAATGGAATTGGCGCCAGCAGGGAACAGTCACTCACAGTCCACCCAACTCACAGTGTGACTGATCACCACGCCAGTCATGTCAAAACTGGACATTTCCTGTTCACAGAAAGTTGAAGCAGGTCCATTTTGAAGAACATCTGATTGGACATTTAAAAATGGATAAAGATGATTCAGAGGACCAAAAGCCCAATTTTCCATTTTCACAAGCTATAGGTAGAGCAGCCCTAGCTGACTGGAACAAAGTGTGACTGAAGCATGTTTATTGTGAAGAAAGAGATGGAAATACTGGAGATGGGCATTGACTTAACTCTATTTCGGTAATGTTGTGGCCACACCAATAAGTCCCCAGCTTCCCTCTCCCCTGTGTAGCTTTTTCTCCTTTTTCTGTTTGTTGCACCCCTGACGGCAGCGTGTTCGGCTTGTTCCCTTTCTCAGGTGGTGGAAGTCTGTGGCCTCTTAGCCTGTGCCTCCCAGCACACCTGAAGAAAACCACAATTCCCAGTGAGGCACTGACGCTTGTATCTTATTGCTTAATTATTATACCTATTTAATGCTACTTAGAACATTGTCAGCTGTTGAGAAAAGGTAATTATCACTAGTCAAATGAAAAACACTTTTTTGGCTGCCTTACGGGTACACATTTTACTGGTACCTTGATACATAATGAAGCCTGATAGCAAAACTTTTGCTTGTCTCTTCTTCAAGCCACAGCTGTTTCCCTGCTAAATTCATCCCATCTGTCTTCCCTTCCGTAAAGCTGTAGGCAGTATAGCAGAAGTACAGAAGCAGTTCAGCGCTATTTTGGATAAACATAGCTGAAATTTGAATCTTTGCCATTTGCGATGCACACATTTTGTTTTACTGCTGTAAAGAGAGCTGTCAAAATACAACTACATGGATAATTTACTAAAATGCAGTCAAATGTAAGGTTGATCAAAGGGAGAGTACATTGGGTCACTCTGACTATTCCAGTCTGTGCTCTGAAAGGTGTCACTGACCTCGAGGTCCCCATGAATTCTGTTTGGGGAGAGTAGCATCTGAAGTCTTTGCTTTAATTCCGCAGCATGGTTTTGAGGAGTTACCAGTTCCTTGTAACTGTATCTGTGGCATGACTTTCAGAGTCTTTAAGAGGCTTCAGAAGTCCATTTTCTTCATCTTCAAAAAATTTGCACTGATGAGAGATGTTTTCTCTTTCTTGGCACAGTCAGACAGAGCTGAGCTACATGACCATTCTGCTGAGTTCTGACATTTATTTCATTGGAACCTTTGTTACCACTGAGGCAGTCTGTTTCATTTTCATCCCATTCCTTATTTCTGGACTATTGGTGCGTCTAAATGTACCATGGTACATTTTTAAAACTCAATACTATACAGAGCTTTAGCGTCAAGGGAGGTGTTTTCTTGGATGAATTCCTCTTCTCAATTCTAAGAAGATTCACCTCCACCTGGCCCACAGCCCTCACACACATATTTACTGCTTGTTCCCATGTGCAAAGGTCTTTTCCGAGCCCAAATGGGTCATGACCTCTTCGAGGGGAAGGGCTAATACCTAATATATTTTGGTAGCCACTGTGATCAGAGCTCATAAGAGGTACTTGGACTTCAGGTAAGTGAAACACAACATCTTTGGAATGAGATCTTATCCCATTGGTTCTTTACTCTAAGATTTCACTTTACCTTACCCTCTCTCCACCACTTCTCAACCCTGCATCAGTGTAGCACAGAGGGAATGAAGGGGGCTGCAGGAAAGGTTTGGAGGCCAGGCCGAGGATTGAGCCCACTACTTTCTGCCCTTCCCCATTTGCCAGAACTCAAGTCACCTGGCTCAACCAACTGCAGGAGCTGGGATGCATGATCTAGAAGAGGAGGAACCTGTGGAGTGGTGAGCTCCAGTGTTCTCGTTCCTATCATCCCTGCCTCTAAAAATAACCCTCCATAAACAAATGATAGCAAAAGTCATCTCGTGCATATAAAGACATGACAGAAAGCAATATCTTTTTAGGTAAGGGGCTGTGTGGCTGTGAAGGTAAGGACAGTAACCAGTGAGGTTTCCCTCCTAACACTGTCATACACACATCCTTTTCACAAATGTCATCTTGCTAACAACTATGCAACCTCCTTGGAGTGAAATCTTGGCTGTCTTGTTCTCCACTGTATCCCAACGCCCAGTAAAGAAGACATTGTAGGTGCTCAGAAAATATTTGCTGAGCAAAAATGAATGCATGAATAGTAGAACAAATTTACATTGTATTTTTTTCACATTATCTTAAAACTCCTACCTTTTGTACAGCCAGAAGACACCAGCACCTATGTGTGCACTGCATTTAAACAGCTTTAGCAATATCATAGTGCTGTTGGGTCCCCAGCTGCTGCCAGTGAAATTGTTTACCTAGAAAGTCCCCAAGGCCTTTTCTGCACCAAGATATTTGCCTTCTCTCATCTTTTGGCAAAAAACAAAACAAAACAAAACAAAAAAAAACCCTAGGCTCTTTGGAAGACAAAAAAAGTATATGACTGCCACACATGCAACCAACTCTCTGCTTCCACCAAAGGTGGAAATGGTTTTGTCAGTGGTTCTCTGAAAGCTGTTTATTTTAAAAGATAAATAAATCTTTCCCCTTACCCTGTGACATCTGATCCAGGGCCAATAGGAGCTTTCAAAACACAGTCAAGTCCACTGATGCTGTTCTTAAAAATGCATTCTTTCATTCAACAGCTGCATGTATTGGACACTGTGCTGGATGCTATGGGTACCAGCAGGATTCAGTCCTGACTCTCAAGGAGCTAACATTTTAGTGCAGGAGGCAGACAGTCATAGTGCACTGTGGTAAGAGCCATGGGTAGGGCACAGAAGAAGGAACAGGTAAGCATGAGAAGGCCAAGAGGAGCTCTGTAGAGTGGCAACACTTGATGGCTAGGGAGAGGCAGTGTATGCAGAGGAGAATAAGGCCCTTTCTCTTCTAATATTTTTTTGGATTGCACACTTTAGAAAACAATTTTAGACTTAAGACCCAAAATGAGAAGAAGCACATGACTTCTGGCTGACAGCCCTGACATCCCCAATATGAGGACATGATTCTGTGCCTTGCTGGACCTCCTGACTGCCCAGCCAGCCAGGGCTGCTCCTGTGTCTGTCCAGCCCCAAGACCAGCCTGATGGAAACCGCTTCCTGTAATGCCTAATATAGCACAGTCCACTCACAATATGGGTCTAAAACCAGACTTTTATCTTGGGAGGGAAAAAATAATATATGTAACAAAAATGTAATCCATGGTAATATTACTCATTAAATTCACCATATGATTAGGTTTTTGAGTTTTTAGTAATCCACTGACATCTTCTCCCTGTCTTTGTGATGAGTCCAGAGCCTGCACCTTTGACTCTGTTTGCCTGGGTGGTACTCCGACATCTTCGATAGGGAGGGTAATGAGACCGTTCTGCCAGTAGGGCACATGGCCACATAGACTGTTTAAATCATGAAATCTCTTGGAAATACCCATCCAAGGGATGGATGTGAACTCTCGGTGTTCCCGTGAGAGCCAGCAGGGGTAGGTGCCATTGGCTAGAGAGACGGCTGAAAATAACCCTTCATTCAGAGCCTTGTGTAGAAAGTTGGGTTGCTGTGCTCATGTCCTCTTGACCCAAAATTGTTAACATGGTTGGATGAAATGCTGTTCCTAGAGGGGAACAAAAGTGGCTATCACAATTAACATGGCCCTGTTTGACACCTGATCCTAAAAGTGATTTTTGTAAATTAGAGTTTGAAGCATGTGGTGGCATTGGTGGTGCTTTTTCTGAATGTTGTTCACTTAGGTTTTCCAGTTACACGAATTGTTTTCGGGGAGCTTACACACCTGTTCCCATCCTCTGGGGTGGGCTAGTTGCTATGTTATGAACCTTAACCTTTGCATATACCTCTGTTTTATTCATGGGAGGTCACAACTTGGTAATTCTGTCTAGTATTCAAGCAGATTATTACAAGTGCTTAGAAGACTAATATAGTTAGCATTTGATTTGAAAGGGACAAAGACCAGTTAATAGTTTTCTGTAACTATACTTAATATTTCATCAGGCAAGTAAGGTTGCTGCCACTTAGTTAACTGGGATGCCAAGGAATTGCTAAAAAAAATCAAATTAATACACATTATTACACATATTTACACACATTGAACTATTTCAAACCAGTATTGCTGGAATAAAGACAAAATAATACTGTGTATTTACATAACACCATAACACCTTTCATCAGAAAAATCTCAAGCCTTCGCAGACTAACTAAGCTGCACAACACCGTGTGAGGTGTGTAGGAAGTAAGATAGGACAATAAACAAGAAGTCGATGGAGGGAAAAGGCAGGCAGGCAGGCAAGCATGCTTGCATAGGGTGAGTGAGACTCCTTCCTGCTGGATGACCCACTGGCATTCAAGTCCTGGTCACCCCATCGTGAGGATACCTAGATTGAAAGCTCCAGTACATGTCACAGGTGATTACAGACTTGAGTATTCTTCTGTGTGTTGTTTTTCCATTCTAATGTCTGTATTTTAATTGAATCGACTGGACAAAGATACAGCATTCCACCTCTACTGGACTGTAACAGTGACTCCCAGTGTGATCAATCATTTGATCATTGTTTCACTTTCCCTAGGGCCAACTAAATACAGTTTCCTTTATTTTTCCTTAGCTAGAATTTTTTTACTAAAGTGTGACAGTTTATTCTCTAGAAATGCCTAGAGATGGCTGGGTACATGCTAGTCCATGGAAAAGGCATGGGTGAGTCATGGTCTCTTTTGGGAGGGTCGGGGCTGGTGGGAACAAATTCCTGCCCAAGCCTGCTTCAGTGGCTGCCATGCCCAACACCTCCCATGATAGGCCTGGCCTGGCACTGTGAGCAGAGAGAGCTGACCAGGCCTTCTGTGGAGCATCTGAGACAGGCCTGGAGCTGGAGGCAGTAGCGAGCCAGGAGAACCAGCGTGAAGAACACAGGAACAGCAACAGGCCAATGGGAGTCGTGAATTTGGCTTTTCGAATTTTGGAAGAGCATACATTAACATCTTTAAATCAATTTTGAATGTACTATGTTCTATTGGATATTCAAAAAGTTTAGTCCTGAAACTTAGTACTCATTCAGTTATCCCATGCAAAGGATTTATTCACCTCATCCTTTGAGAAAAAAGAATTTTCTGTATGTTAGTCTTTCACACAGCCTCTGTTTCGGCTTAACCTTTCAGATTTTCAGATAATTTAGGTGTCACAGATACCCATGATAGGATCGTTTTTCAGACACTATAATTTAAATGTCTCTGAAATGTAATAAACAGAGCTTTGTCTGGGTTTTGGAAATGATGTTTTCTTCCCAAACAGCTGTTCATTTGTATTAACACTTTTTTCTGTCTCTAACAGAAAGGCAGCATTTCTTTTTTATGTATAATCTCATCGGCCTTTTCATCATGTTAACTGTGTCCAGCGTATTGTTGTGGTATTATTTTTAATATCCTGGTGTACCACAGGCAGATGACTAGCATGACCTCAGGGCTTTCTGAAGAGAAGATACCGCTCATTTTTCCATAGCCTATTCTAGGGCAGACTCTCACTCTCTATCTTAGTGGGGCTGGCTAATTTCATTACCTATTCAATTCATCTGAGACCATTTTGGTAAAAGCGTTGAAATAGCAATGCGCTATGAGCTAGTCTTTGCTCCTGTATTCAACTGGCAAAGCAAAGGACTTTGGTTTTCATTTTGGGGGCCCCAGTTAACACCCAAAGGATGGCAATTTATGAGGCCCTGATGAAGATGGTGAGAACTGGCATTTGATATATATCAATATTTGATTTATTTGATATATGTGATCTTCTAACAACCTTGTGATGTATATAGGAGAAGTATTGTTAAAATTAAATTTTACTTTGAAGGAATTCAGGCCTAGAGAGGCTAAATGTCACAGATTCCCATGGCTGGTAGGCTGGGCCTCATACCCTTTCCTACTTAATGCCTCTGAGATTCACTAGAGAGAAGAGTAGTTAACAGTGCAGGTTCTGAACTCAGACAGTTTAAGTTCAAATCCTGTCTCTACTATTTCTGTGCTATGCGATTTTAGGGCAAGCTACTTAACATGGGAGTAAACTTCTTCATCTGTAAAATTATGACAGTCGTGCTACCTGTGTCACAGTCTTCTCTCAAGGATTGAATGAGTTATTACACAGAAATGTTAAGAACAGTGCAGGGCACATAGTAAGTACTCAACAAACATTAGCTAGGTGAATTGTTTAAAGTGTCCAGCACAGGAAGCAGCCTGTAATAGGAAATGAGCCTGTATTATGCCTGGGAGGTGATGTTACACAGGTCCTATCGAGAGTAGACAAGCTGACTAAGGAAGGTGCTCAAGTCCAGCAGGGAAAGTTCATTCTGCCCGTACTGTTACCAAAGTTAGAATATGACAATACTTCTGTTTTTGCGGTACAACCCGGGACTATTGCAGCCTATTAAATTAATGAGAGGCAGATAATTGACAGTGTCTCCCACTGGGGAACCAGGTCTCACTCTGGGTGGAGCAGTTAATATGCAGGTCTCCACTCTGGAGGGATAGGAGTGCTGCTTCCTCATGCTGCATTCCAGAATCCTTTCTAGATGCCTTCAAGATTTATACCCTTAAAGTTGGAAACCTGGGGGGCACCTTGTGCCCAAACAGCGCTAAATTCCAGGTAACACATCTCCATTCACAACCTATTGTGCGTAGACCCTCCTGGACACTGCTATTGACCGTTGACTGATTATGTGATCAAAGATTGATGAATCTGGAAGCACTGGAGGGATAGCAAAGGCTTTCATTTTTTTGTTTGTCTTTTTAAATCCTGTTCCATGTTCCACTTTGAACTGGATTGAAGTCAGCAGTGAAATCAGGAGTGTGGAAGCTGTGGTACCAGAGGAGAGAACCAGTGAGAGAGACTTGGCTTATAGCAATCAGTCCAGCTCCAGTCAGATAAAGGAGACACCAGTGAGGGAGTGAACAGAATGGTAGAGAACAACCCAGCTGAGATTCCAGCATCCTTTTCTTCTATCATCAGATACAAGAGGAGAGTTCACAAGAGAAGCCCAGTGGCTTTATTCGGAGAGAGTTGTCTGGTTAAGCACATATGTGCACCGCAAATCCACATTTGAGATCCACCCGTTTACATTTCTTCATATCAGCATCTGATCAGGAACCTCCAAATGTTCTAGCATCCTTTGCAAATAATTTTGATTTGGAAGGCTTCTCTGGATAGTTCATTTTTACTGAAAGACTATTCTCTTGATAAGAAATTTCTGACAATTTTAGTTATGTTAAATCAGATTCCACATATATAATGACAGCTTTGTTGGTGTGTATTTGTGTGTGAAGCATTGAAACGCATGTCACGTCCTGCCATCTTATAAAGAACACTGCCTTAATTTTTAACTATGCTGTAGGGAGCACCCAGTGTTCATACACATGTATGAGTGTATGTCAACATACATAGGATGATTGAACCATGAACTCTGTAAAGTTTGGTAGCATACACAGAAATTTGGTAAGGACAAGGATTTTTGTGCTACAAAACTTCCTTATCAAATGCCCAGTAGCTCTACGTGAGTTCCACCCAAGGACCTTGTTGTATGGACAAAAGGGCACAGGATTTTCCAGCCGTTGCTGCAATAATAGGTTTAGAAGACAGACCTGGGATTGTGTTCCAGCTTTACCACTTACTACCCCTGTGAACTTAGGCAAGATATTGTAGCATCTCTTAGCCTCAGTTTCCCTGTCCATAAAATGAGGATCATAATATTATCAATAATACCTTCTTCAAAGGTTTTTTTTTTTTTTTGAGACGGAGTCAGCTGTGTCACCCAGGCTGAAGTGCAGTGGCATGATCTTGGCTCACTGCAACCTCCGCCTCCCGGGTTCAAGCAATTCTCTTGTCTCAGTGTCCCGAGTAGCTGGGACTACAGACGTCCACCATCATGCCTGGCTAATTTTTGTATTTTTAGTAGAGATGGGGTTTCACCATATTGGTCAGGCTGGTCTCGAACTCCTGACCTCAGGTGATCCACCCGCCTCAGCCTCCCAAAGTCCTGGGATTACAGGCATGAGCCACCGTACCTGGCCTGATGTTAAGATTTTAAAATGCGGCCAGGTGCAATGGCTCATACCTGTAAACTCGGTGCTTTGGGAGACCAAGGTGGGAGGATCACTTGAGCCCAGGAGTTTGAGGCTGCAGTGAGCTGTGATCATGCCAGTGCACTCCAGCCTGCATGACAGAGGAAGACCCTGTCTCTAAAAGAATTAATTAATAAAAATAAAATGGCTGACAAAGCATTTAGTACAGTAACTGCACATAGAAAGAGCTCAATACATATTGTTTATTGCTTTTGCTATTTTTATTATTGAATCACAATTACCTCATTCATTAGATAGAAGAAATACTTCCTACATAACAGAGCTGGGTTTCAGAGTTGACTGAGCTAACGTATGTGAAAAGTACTTCGTATATGCTCTGAAGCACCCTGTGAAAATAATAATGATTGTATGTTTATTTACTGAGGATCTACTAAGCACCAGTCACTTTATATACTCTCCAATTCTCATAACAATCTTGTGAGAGACATAGTATGATTTTATAGAGCAAATGAAAGGATAGGCTTACAAGGATTTGCTTAGGATCATGCTCAGATTTCGACCCAGATCTATTTTAAATTCAGATTTATCCTTCTACAAAGCCACATATCAATGATGATAACCTTGAGAATTGCTAATAATAGTTTCTTGACTTTATTAACGGTCGAATTGGACTCATATTATCTAGTTTAGGCTGATTTGTCATTTTTTTGAGTAGTATAGCATCCATGGCATGCTTTTTTTGTTAAAATGTATGATTTTGATGAAATGCACTTAATACATCCTCACTCACAAACTTGTATATGTAGCTACCTACAAAAGATATTTGTACCACTAAGCCCTTGGCTATGAAGGCAGTTCCAAATAAAAGAACATGTCAGCAGAGTCCTAGGCAATGGCAGTGTGGTTGAAATATACATGCTGTCCTCAAGGTGAATAATTTGAAGGGCATACTTTTTTGAGTGGATAAATTCTGATTTTTATTATAATTTTCAGTGCTTTTTCAGTCACTCCTCATGTTTTTACATTTCAGTTACATGAATTTTCATTCATATTGTGGATTACAAGTAAACTGAATTTACAATTTGATGCCCCTGCCTGCATACTAATGATAACTAGCTTATTGCTCACCAGCTCACAGTGATCTGCTCAGATTGGCATATTGGACCCTGGGCATATTCATGAGGTAATGTATCTGCCTGCGAGTGCATGTGTGCATCTGGAACCTAGCGTATTGTAAGGAGATAGGCATGGCCTTTTCAGTTTGGTCCCTTCCTAGCTACAGGGCTTTGCGAAAGTGTTGGTTTTTTTTTTTTTTTTTTTTTAGTCTTCTAAGCCTCAGTCTCCTCATCTATTAAACTGGAATAATAATACCTATCTCTCAGAGTTTCTTGGCAAGTAAAGGGGTACTTCAGATAACATGCCCCATACTCAAAATATGTAACTCCCCTTTCCACCCTTCTTTGTTACCAAAAAAAAAAAAGTATAGCAACAGTAGAATATTTGCTTTGTTTTTTCACTGGATCATAGTTCCACACACAAGAAAAACCATGTCTGGTTAACAACACAAGGTCTAAACAGATTTACAAGGAGATCAGATGCTTCGCCTTTCACCTGACTGAGATGAAGCCACCAACGAGGCTGTCCCATGTGTGCAGTGCCTTCTGCCCAGATGTGGCGCAAGTGCTCCAGCTGCCCCGACGGGGCTGGGGCCTCAGAATCCCCCTCACTCCGCCTTTTGGGTTTTTGCTCCTAAAGCATCCTGGCCGTCATCACTCACATGTGCTCACCAGGTTTCGTTTCTAGTTCAGAGGAAACCCATACTTTTCACCTGTGTCTTTTGATCCCTGGCCTGATGGAATATTTTTCTAATGCCCCCACTTTTCCCAACTGCTCTAAGTTACAAATGGCCAGATTTCAGTCATTAGGAGAGTAGAATTTTTTTTTCCTTTTCCTTTTTTTTTTTTTCTTTTTTTTGCAGCCTGTCTCACTGGGGGCTGGATTCCAAGGAAGCAGCCCGTGCACTCACAGGCCAGGGGAGCCAGGATTTCAACGGTGTCAACAATCTTTGCTCATCACACCAAAAAAGCCCTGTGTCGGTGCCGACTCATTAGCATACAGCCGTGCTGTGCTTGCTAACAAAGCAGGCTCTGGGTATCTGCTAGTTTCTCAGCTTGTCTGTCTTCCTTGACCGAAAAGAAGAGAAGAAATAGATTCAGGCAAGGGTGCTGTCCCCCTCCTGTGGCAAGACAGCATCACAAGGATTCCCAGAGAGAGCGAGCTTTGAAGTGATTTTAAAGTCACCATCCTTGGGAGAAAGGAGACTGTCCACCCTTTGTTTTTCTCATCTTCTTCTATAGCATCAACAAGCAAAAGAAAAATCGCTATGTTCTCTAGTTAAAAATGATCGAGCCCTGAATACTTCCTGGTCATCTCTTTCATAGTTGTTGTTGTTAGAGTGCATAAGAAGAAATATCTGTATAGGCAGAGGTACACAAGCATGCTCTCCCCTCAGTCTGTCTCTCGATCCCTCTTTTGTTGGGGGATGGAGGGAAGAAGAAACGTACAAGCAGATGTGCTGCTAGATCTACAGGCTTCTGCCAACCATATGGCATCTTAAGGAAAGATGGTTGGAGCGTCTGGATTAGCAGAGTCGGGATGGGAAGCCATGTGTCGTGTTGGTACAGGCAGTTGTTTGAGCTCTCTCTAAATGGCTTCAGGAGATTGTGTAATGGAACAAATGGTCCTGCGAGCCCAGGAACAGCCTTGCCGCTGCTGGAGAGGCAATTGGCCCTCGGGCGGGTACTGCTTCCCTTTTTTCCCCCAGTATTATGTATTCTTCATTTAATGTTCTTCGAACTCTGAGACTTGACTCGGAACTTTTCAACTTATTACGCTCGTGGGTTCTGTCTGCCTCTGTGTCTGCCTGAACTCTACTCTGTCCCTAATCTGGTAATTAATAATGCCCCAGTCCTCTTCTGTGTCCTCTCCCTCGGCCCTCCACGGGGGGTCCAGGCTCAGCAGGCCAGCTTTTCGTGCCTCTTGACAAAGGCCTTTTCGGAGGAGGCTGCCCTGCTATCAGGGGTTGGGGGGTGGAGGGAGGATGATGTATCCACCCATCAGAATTCCCAGAAGCCTCAGGAGATGGAAAATCTTTCATTTCTTAATGAGTTAACTGGGAGTTTTACGTCGTCCTAGGTGTTAAGCACATGAGAAATATGTAGCATCACTATTTTGGACCTCATGTGTGGCATTAAAAAAAATTATTCTAATTTCATACTAGTGAAAGCATTGGACTATTAGGTCACAGGTGCCATTTACTCAGCAATTTGAGACCTCAGGATTCTACTCTCTAATACATAATTTAAATACTGTATGAATATACTGTAAATTGGAGAACTGAAACACTGTGAGGCTGGCAACACATGGGCAGTATTTCAACTGTGGTCAGGTTCTCAGGCCATTCTTATTTTGGGAGGCTGGAGGCGGGAGAAGCAGTGAGACCTCACAACTAGAACAGATCTGGTGAGTTTCTTCTCATAGGAAGGCTCTTTGGACATTTCAGCTGCCTTTTAGGGCAAACAGATCTTGTTTTGTTGATGTTTCAGGGTCATGGCACATGCAGTGCAGTGTCTTTAGCTGCTGATATAGTTAGGTCTGCCTCCTCTCTGGGGTAGATAACAAAGCCTGAGGCTCCAGGTGTGTCATACATTGTGCTTAATGGAAGATAAAATGGCTAGTTGATTCAGTCAAAGAACCTGTCCATTTATCTGACTAAATCATCAAACCAGTTTGAATTAAGTCATCAGCTTGAGTCCCTGAGAGTAGCTGGTCAGTACCTGGTGGGCATTTTTGTTTGTTTGTCTGTTTCTAAGTCCAGGGCTGGAGAAAGAGGTCAGTACCTGGTCTGTGCTGCACACCATGGGGGCAGAGTGCCCTTCCTCCTTTCTCACAGGCAATGACCCCAAAAACGGAAGCAAGTAAGAAATGCAGCATCCAGGTTAAAAATGAATTCACTTATGGTCAGCTGTGTCCAGGCTGAAAATGAGTCACCTATGGTCAACTGTGGGAAATAGGAAGCTGTCATGCCTACTGCAGCTTCCCTCAAAGGTACTTCGAGCAATGAAAATACATTCTAATTTATTTGCTGTGGAACAATGCAAAGGCTTCCTCAAAAAAAGAAATGAAACCTGGAGAATGTGTGACTGAACTCCAGCAGGAGAACAGGACACAAGTCTAGAAATCTCAAGTGTCTTCAAACTGTTATTATTTTTATGGATTTGTGACTCCAGCAAACAACTTTTACTATCTTAAACAAGGTCATCTGAAAATCACTTGAAGATTGTTACCAAATTCCTTCATAAATATTTTCTACAAACATAAATGTCCACCAGAAATTTCAGATAAAGTACTATTTCTCCTGTGTCAATTCTTTGTATTTAAAATTTATCTCATATACCTAGGTTTTAAAACACGTTTTTAAATTTTCAGAACTCATTTCATGCTGAACATGTTAAGTGCTAGGATATTCTTACTTTGTCTTCCGAGTTTAGGATCTCTGCGGGGGTGTGGGGGGTGTGTCTGTAGAAAGCATAATTTTGATTGTTATCCACCAATTGGAAGAAATCCCTACTTTAATCTCTTTTACCTTCCAAGTGTACATGGTCCCAAATTTGTCAGTCTTAGAATTTCTTGAAACAATGCAATTAAACTGCAACATATTTCCTAACATTCTTAATTAAGACAGTGACTGAAAAATGTAGATTAACAGAAGTTACTGTTTTTATCAACATATTTTCTCTCTCTTTCCCGCCACCATCACATCCCCCTCCCCCTACCCCTTCTTGCTTTAAATGTCTGATGTCAGTTTCATCCACATGTACATTATGCACATGGCACTGAAGAAACAAAGTAAAAAATTCTCTTTTAATTCTGAGCTGCATGCCCAGCGCCACATGCACTGTCTGTTACATGTCGCTTCTTATGAGGTTCATGCTGGGAAGTTTCTTTTTAAAGGCGAAGTGTTTCTGAAGGAAAGAGTTCAGGTTGGGCAGATTGTGTTAGAAAAATCTCACTGTCTCCGAGTGGAATTAATATACTGATTATTCTGTGCAGGCTCAAACTGGCAGCGTGTGCAAAAGTTCAAGAGTGTCTGGGAATTGAAATATGGAGGAGAAAGCGGGAGAGTGAGCAGAGACAAAGAATTGGAAGTAGGGCTCAGAAGTGAAACTAAACGGTAACTTTGTAAAGAGAGGAAGGGAATTCAAGTCTGAACAACTGTCATGAAGCAGTACTTACTGAAAATATTTTTATGGAATCAGGAAGCTCCATTTTCCATGGCACTTTTTAGGAGGGGTCTTACAAATGAGTTTGGTTATTGGAGGAGAGTTGCCGGCGGGGGGGGGGGGGGGGGCCGGGGGAGTACTTCTTTGAGTTCTCAAGATCCTTGCCAGTTTCAATTAAGTCACATGAGAAGCTTAATCACTAACATAGAAATGTAAACGGGTTGCAGTATTTCTTTGGCCTATTAGCCAAGATTTTTTTTTTCCTGTTTATTAAAATTTGAGTCCTTCATGATCACTGACAAACAATGATTCATTGGTTTACAAATAAGGAATTAAAAGGTAAGAAAAGCAAATGCAATCACGCAGCACCTTTCCCATCGCGGGGAAATCAACCTTTTTACTCATTGCCTCTCAGGGGAAAGAACTTGGGACGTGAGCATGGAGTTAATGAAGCTTTCACCCATCTCCTCCTCTCAACCGTCATCCCGGTTTAATCCTCTCCTTCTGCCAAAGTCCAGAGGCCCTGCGAGCCCCCGTGGAGTCGCCTGAGCCAGATGCTCCGCACCCAGCCTCCCCAAGCCCCGGCCGGCTGCCCTCCAGGTGCGGGCTCCAGGCCCTCTCGCGCGGCTTCGGGACTCGGCCGAGCCCGGGCCTAGTATCCAGAGTCGAAGCAGCCGCCGGGAGGTCTGGGTGGGCAGGGAGGCCGAGAGGACGGTGCACCGCCCGGCAGCGCTGAGACCTGGCCGCCTAGGCCACCCTGCCCGGCGAGGGAGAGGGGTGTCTCCTGCCTGGAGCGCTCCGCGGTGGCCCGAGAGCAGGTGCTGGCGTGCGGGAGGCGCACGTGGAGCCCTGCGGTCTGTTCCACCTGCAGAGGCACAATTGCCCAGCGTGGGGTGGAAGGCAGGCTGGGAGCTCCCGGGACGCGGCGTGGCAGCGCAGGGCTCGGCTAGATGCGCTCCTCCTCGGACTGGTTGAGTAAGGGAGGAGGCTCGTCCTGAACGTGCACAGCCGCTCCTAACTCCGTCAACGGAATTTCACTCAACTCCGAGACTGAAGCATTTTATTGGCAGCATTTAGAATCGGGGAAAAATCTACCTTCTGTTTAGCAGTTGCTCTTTTCTGAAGCAGAAAATTATCTCTAGGGATGACTTAGTAATAGGGTACCCCATTGCCATGTGGGTCAGGGATTGGGGGAATGTCCGGATCCTGCCAATGCACCTCTGTAAAAGGTGGCATTCAGCCTGGGAGGAGAGGAGCTGGCAGGGCAGGCCGCCCCCAGACACGCACAGGCCCAAGCTCTGTCCTGCAGCCCCTCCCGGACACGCACAGGCCCTGAGCCCTGTCCTACAGCCCCTCTCCTGTTGTCATTTGCTATCAGGGCAGTTCTACCGCCGCCACTAAGCTTTGCTTCTCCCAACACAACCAAGAGACGGACATATAGCAGTGAATACTGTCTGGATGGTTTAGCATGTCTGGGGCGGGGGTCTTTCTATTGCCTGCAGGGGTTTCCGAGTCTACCCAGCAGGTGCTCACCAGGAGTGGGGGCTGTGACTGGGACCCATGGCCTGTGGTGTGAGGGGTGAGGGGCCACTGTGTACTGTAACCGGGAGCAGCCTGGAAGAAGGCCCCTGCTCCCCCTTCCCTCCGGCGCCTCTTACTCAGGAAATCTTAATGTGGGAAGGATGTGTATGGGGCTCCATAAGCAACACTGACCCAGTCCTGGGGAGAGACAAACCCCTCGTCCGCTCTCAGATCATCCTCAGAGATCCTCTGGGGCCTCTGAGTTGAATCCCAGGCTCTCCCCTGCTTTCGCGAGGACCCAAGGCTTATGCACACAGAGGGTTTCTGGTTGGAACACCTAAAAGTTGATTGATGACAGAGAGATGGTGCTAAACTGGCATATTGCAAAGCAATCTTGGTATTTGTTCTTTGTCACCTTCCTCAAGGCTCAAGGTGCTTTTTGGGCTAAAATGGGGCATTCTGTGAACGTGTGCTACTTTTGAAAAATAGAGGAAGGGGTGTTGGAAGCCTAGACTGGTTCTCTTGCCACTCCTCAAAAAGCAAAATTTTGCAGCCCAAATATTAAAAATTGACTCCGCGTATTCCTTCTCCCCCACAGTGGCACACAACTGGGCAGGCTCCATCTCGTCTGCTGCTGGAACCCACTAGAAACCAAATGAGCCCTCCAGCAGGCCTAATCACTCTGATCTGTCATGGACCTTCTAGCTGGAAGAGTTATGCCATCATATTATCCCAACACTCATCAGTGTGTGGAGGACCCCCTTTTACTGAATGATTTATTGCTCTTTGCAGAATTCCTTTGGCTGCAGATTTTATTTCTGAGTCACTCTGTTCAGCTCAATTGGTCGCCTTCAGTTACCGTGGCAACCAGCAGATGGGGTTCTTTGACAAGGGTCAGCGGGGAGGCTGCCTTGGTTTGGACAGAAGAGGAGCTAAATAAAAAGCTTTCAGCATTGACGGTTCCGTAGCGGACGGCCAGGAGTTGTTATCAAATTACTTGCATTAAAACCTAATTAAGATGTGTGCCAATAAGTGGGCTGTAGTGATTGAATCTGGTTACTTAGCTGCTGTGGGCCCAATCTTATGCCATCACACCTCTGTGGCTAGTTTGACTATCCCAAGAATGGTCAAATATGAAGGAAATTGAGGAAGACCTCACCACAGTGTGGAACGTGACATACTCTGGGACCACACCAGGAGGGTTTTAGTCTCTGGGAGCACCAGAAAGTCCCCATTCAAACAGAAACTTCCTGAAAACACAGCAGTGTGCCCCCCAAACCCAAGATGGCAACTGAACAGGACCTCCATGCGTCTGATAGTTCCATGTCTTCCGTTAAGACTATTGGTAATTCAGTTGCAAATAGCATTCAACAAAATAAAACTGGCTTGTAATCACTCTGGGTTAAAGAAGTCTAAATAGAGACATGCCAACTAAGTATGAAGGATCTTTTCTGGAGTGGGAAGAAAGGAACATTATTGGGCCAGTCAACAAGATTAGAATCCAATTCAGTAGGTTAGATGAAGCTATTAGATCAATATGAAATTGACTGTAGTTGGTAATATACTGTGGTTCTGTAAGAGAATGCCTTTATCCTTAGGAAATACACACTGTAGCATATAAGATAAAAGGGCAATGGTGCATGCAGCTTACTGTCAACTGGTTCTGTACACACACACACACACACACACACACACACACACAGAGAGAAAGGCAGGAGAGCGTAATCAATCAGATGGGGCAAAATTATTACAGTAGGTGAATTTGAATAAAGGGTATGTTGGTATTCTCTGTAATATTCTTGCAACTTTTTATAAGTTTGACATTATTTCCAAATAAACCCATTTTTAAGGACGGCTTTAGGGTGAGGTAGGGTACAGTGTGCGTGGCAGTGTGGGTTTTCCTGCTGGTGCTTCTGTATGGCCTTGAGCCACATGCAGCATAGATACTACTCTGCAAAGATTCTGATTTTCAACAATTTCCATTCCTCTGTCCCATTTCCTTTGCACAGTGGGGCTATCCTCACCATTAGTCTGTTCTTGCTTGAGACAAAGCTGATTAAGGTAACTCTTACTTCAGGCAGATGGTCTTCTAGGTTCTTCAAAGTCTAAGATTCATAACGTGTCAACTCCTGTTTCATGGTGTCAGGATCCTTTATTCATGCCCAGTCTTCCAAAGGTATTACAAACTCAGCCTTGGTTCGATAGCACTTGTATTTTAAGAAGGTTACAAGGTAGTGATTCAACAGATCTAATTGCCCTAAGATGAAGCTGTGCCTCCTTTTTGGTAGAAGCACTGTTTGAAGAAGTTGGTCTTTGAAGAGCCTCGGTGATATTGTCAGAGGCTTTAGGTTCCTGTCAGAGGCAGCTGTGCTGGAGCTTGAAGAGCTGAAAGTGTCCCCTTGGCCATGGGCCCATTCACTGGGGGCCAGTGTGGCACTGTGGGCTTCCCAACATGGTCTTCCAAGCTTCTGGCCTCTTTTGCATCCTTTGTGCCAACACCAGTCTGTGGATGAGATCAATGTGGCTCAGAGTGTGGTTTCCAGAGTACGGTCCTCAAACTGTTACTGGTCTGGGATGAGGCAAGAACTGAAATTGAGTCAGAAATTTTCAAAACAATCAAACACTGCTTCCTCCTTTTTATTGTACTCCACAAAACCATTAGTCTACAATAGATTGGAAATTTTAAAAGAATTAAAATCAAGTCTGGTTCTCCTCACTGAGCTCATTGGGGAATCCCTGGCCTAGGGATTTCCCTCTTCTCCCGCCCCCAGGCCTCGGAAAATGAACTGGTGTCAGCTGCTGCCCAGAAGGTTACCCAGCGTGTTCTCTCTCTCAGGGTCCTTCCCTTAAATTCTCAAGTTTGACATGGAATAGAAGAATGTCGGGCGTTTCAAAAAAGGATTTTGAGATGCTGCAAAGCTCACTGGATTTAGAGTCAAGAGATGTGGGCTCTAGCGCCAGATTTACTACAGACAGGCTGCCTGACCTTGGGCAAGTCACTTATACTTTCTTGGCTTCACCATAATGGGCTGAACTGAATGTTCTCTAAGGTGCCTCTCAGCCCTAACATAATATGATTCTTTTCATGAGAAGAGCAGGACTTGATCCCCCCATCACTTGGGGGCATCCCCAAGGAGCCCCCTGTTCTTCCTCTGCAGGCAGCCAAGGCTAATTAGGAATCTGAGAGAATGAGCCAGGAAAGGGGCAGTACAGGACATACATTCTCTTCATTGAAGGTGGTACCCCCTCCCCACTGCACGATCCTCAGGAAGAATTCCTTTATTGAAACCATTATTGAATAGGGTAGATTTAGGCACGGGAAATGTAAACAGCAAACCAGCCACTAAAAGTGCGTTAATGTCACGCCTGTAATCCCAGCACTTTGGGAAGCTGAGGTGGGCGGATCATGAGATCAAGAGATCGAGACCATCCTGGCCAACGTGGTTAAACCCCAACTCCACTGAAAATAAAAAAAATTAGCTGAGCGTGGTGGTGTGTGCCTGTAGTCCCAGCTACTCGGGAGGCTGAGGCAGGAGAATCATTTGAACCCGGGAGGCGGAGGTTGCAGTGGGCCGAGGTTGTGCCACTGCACTCCAGCCTGGCCACAGAGTGAGACTCTGTCTCAAAAAAAAAAAAAAAAAAAAAGAAAGTGCCTTAATGTTCTGAGCAAGGATAATGGGCTAGAGCGTGTTCCGGAAGCCTCAGCACACTGCTTGTTCTCACTGATAGGACCTCGTTCACGAGATGGAATTATGTAAAATGCCGCAGCAATGGTTAAGTGTTGGAACAAAGTAATACAGCTTTACATTAACATGGTTTATTCACTAGAATTAATGACCTAGAGCAGTAATTGCATTTTCAAAACTTCAGCTTGCTGACTAGGTGTATTGCTATGTAAATAGCTAGCGATATTTGAAGATAGGAACACAGTAAAATCTGTAAAGTAATAGGATTGTAGAAATATGGAGCTGGAGGAGAATGTAGTCATCTTCTAGCCCCGAGGCTGGCAAACTTTAAAAGGTCAGGTAATAAATATTGTAGGCTCCATGGCCATATGTTCTCTGTCGCAGCTACTCGGCCGTTATGGTGCAAAAGCAGCCATAGACAAAACGTGAATGAATGGGCATGGCTGGGTTTCAATGAAAGTTTATTTAGGGGCGCTGCAAGTTGAATTTCATGCAGTGTTCACATATTATACTCCTTTTGATTTTTAAAAATCATTTTAAAATGTAAAAATCACTCTCAATTGGCAGATCATACAGAAACAGGCAGTGGCCTGTAGTCTGAAGTTTGCCGACCTCACTTCTAGTTTTCTCCTCTCATTTCACATGTGAGGAAACTGAGATTCAAAGTGATCACAGGATTTACTTAAGTTCTCATGACTGACGCCAGAGTATTTTAGGAGCAGACTAGGAGAGTTTTCATGTAGACAGTTGGTTGTTTTGATGATGAAAATTGAAGCCACACAAAAATTATTCTCCAGAAGAACTCATTTCGTATGTGTGATTAATACTGTGAATTAGAATGTACCAGTGGTTCTCATGCTTAAGAATTCATCAGAGTCATCCAGGGGCCTTATTAAAACACATGCTGCTGGGCCCCACCCTCAGAGTTGATGGTTCAGGTCTGGAGATCTTATTTTCTCCATTTTACAAATGGAGAACCTGAGGTTGAGAGAGATACTCAGTCTCAGGCTTAAGGTAAAATAGCTAGCTTGTGATGTCCCCCATTTCCAAGTTCAGCACTCATAGGATTAGGATTAGAGCTATAAGTAATCATCAAGCAGAGAGGCAGGGCTGCAGTTTTGTTTAGAGAGATCCTTCTAGTCTAGCTGTTGCGGGGAGTATGGATTCCAGGGGGCCGTGTGGAAGCACACAACTCTATGAGAAGGCTGTGCAGGAACCTGGATGTGAAGTGCTGGCAGCTGGACTTCAAGAGTGAAGGTCATGGAATGGATGGGTGGATGGATGAGTGGGATGGATGGATGGGTGGGATGGATGGATGGATAGGTGGGATGGATGGGTGGGTGGGATGGATGGATGGGTGGATGGATGGATGGATAGGTGGGATGGATGGGTGGGTGGGATGGGTGGATGGGTGGATGGGTGGGATGGATGAATGGGGGATGGATGGATGGATGGATGGATGGATGGATGGGTGGGATGGATGGATGGATAGGTGGGATGGGTGGGATGGATGGATGGATGGGTGGATGGATGGATGGATAGGTGGGATGGATGGGTGGGTGGGATGGATGGGTGGATGGGTGGGATGGATGGATGGATGGGTGGTATGGATGGATGGGTGTGATGGATGGATGGATGGGTGGGATGGATGGATGGATGGGTGGGATGGATGGATGGGTGGGATGGATGGATGGATGGATGGGTGGGATGGATGAATGGGGGATGGATGGATGGGGGATGGATGGATGGATGGGTGGGATGGATGGATGGGTGGGATGGATGGATGGATGGATGGGTGGGATGGATGGATGGATGGATGGATGGGTGGGGTGGATGGATGGGTGGATGGATGGATGGGTGGGATGGATGGATGGGTGGGTGGGATGGGATGGGATGGGAGAGGTTCAGAAGGCCTAGAGGGCTCATCTGTGGAACCAGGAGACTGAGCTGTGGGGATGGTGACTAGGGGTGGTCCCACCCACTGAGAGGGTCACAGAGAGAGGAGCATTAGAAGGTGACTCCAGTGTGTCAGGTGGTGAGTTTGAGGTGGGCTTGGAAATGCAAGAGAGAGGCCCGAGGCTGAGATCAAGTGCTCAGGATCCTTGGCCTCTCCACTTGGAGTCATGAGTGTAGATTTTAAAAATCATGCAGGCGGAACATTTCCAGTCAGGAGAGCACTGAGCCCAGCCCTGGGTCACACCAGCATTTGAAGGTCTGATGGAGGAGGAAGAGGGACCAAAGGGGAGTGAGAGACCTGTACAGAGTCTAAGAAGGAGAGTGATGAGTCGCACTGTGGGCCTTGCTCTGTGGCCTTGGTGGCTTAGGTAATCCTGGCTCTGCCTTACCTTGTGTGCGCTTGGGCAAATGATCGCTTCTCTGCACCTTGCTTCTCTCATGCATAAAATGCAGATGATAAAGTAACGTGTAGTATTGTTATGAGGATTAAATTAGGGAATGTAAAATGCTTACAATGTTGGGCATTTAGTAAATGCTCAGTAAACATTAGAGGAGGCCACTGGGAGGAGTAGAAAAGTGAGTGCATATTTTACAGTTCATGTATTTGCACCTTTGAAATCCATATGTTGTTTGAAAAATGTTCTTCATTTCCATGAGGAAGACGCCGCTCCCAGGGAAATAGTGAGTCTAAGCACTTTGAGAACACTTATCTAAGAGGAAGGACAATCTTAGCTGTAGTCAGAGTGACCACAGGGAGGAGGCTCTGGTCTGAAAACATTTCAGAACAAAGGATTTTACCACTACCACCAAAACCAAACCCAAAACAAAACCCCAAAACAACAACTAAAACCTTCCACTGTAGTCCGTAGGTAGCTCCCAGGGGGAATTGTCCAGTGAAGCAAAAAACTCTCATTGAAAAACATACACGCATAAGGATATAGGCCCCCTCTGGGGAAGGAAGGGGCTGGCCTGGAGAAGAAATCCATTGGTAGTGGCCCTGTGGAGCTGGTGCTAGGTTCACAAGTGTTCATTTGGTTATTATACCTCATGACTTATGTATACATTGCATATATTTTGTATGTATCACATACAACATAAAAAAATTTAAATCTATGTATTCACTTGCTTTCACAGTATTCATAGCAAATGAGTGTCTGAAGCATAGGACCAGAGCTGGCAGCTTGCACCGCTTCTGTTTTGCATAAGATATTTTCCCCAGCCCACTCAGCTCTATAAAGTTGTTTTGTATTTCACCACTTGCTCCATCTTATCTTGAAGCCTTGCATATTTTTTTAAATGCTGGTTCTGATCATGCTTGCAGGGTGTGGCTCAGAGGATCGCTGTTGGACCAATGGAGATCTGCCTGGGCCCAGCACTCTTATGAGTCCCCTGTGATTTCATCAGCATCTGCCTTTAGAAACCCGGGCGTGTTTGTTCCCATGGTAACTGCTGCCCCTGACACGCCTGAAATTCCTGGGATGCCCTTGCGTGGAAGGGGAGCCCGTGCTGCCCATTCTACCCCTGCATGGGGCAGCTGCTTTTCTCCCTCAGGGTCCCCAGTCCTACCCAGGCAGGGGTGGCAGTTGTTCATCTGCAGATCCTGAAGGACATGGACCCTGTGCCTGAGATTAGGACGGCCGCACCAGCCTGGGTGCAGGCTCCCTCAAGTGTCCTTCCTCATGGACCCGCGGACCCTACGCTGTGCTGTGAGGGCCGGGGAGCACAGGGGCTTCCTGGGAGGAGGACTGGCTTCCTGCCCCTGATGGGGCCTGGCCACAGCTCCCAGGGCTCCATGACAGCACAGTGAAGATAGCAACCACATCCTGGGGGCCCTGGATGCAATCCCTGCCTGTTGCAAAGATGAGATAAAGGCGCGGGAAAGAAGGGTCTGAATTAGGGGTTGAGCTCTGAAATCGGACGATTCTGTGTTTCCTGCCGCATGGAGGGCGTGTGTGGTTCGCAGGCTGTGGGGGGCTTCTTGCAGCGGGGGCTGCTGCCTAAACAGACTCCGCGGGCCCCATGATGGCAAACCCCCTCGCCCCGTTCATGACTTAATGCCTCCTAGAAGAAAAGGCTAAAAACAAGACACACAGAACAAGAAATTGCACTCTCTCAAAACGACAGTCGCCCTGAAACGGACGCTGGAAGAGGTTTCCAGGCCCGTGGCGACGGTGAGGGGGGTGAAGGTCGCAGGTGGAGGGCACGGGGCGGCGGCTGCGGAGCCCGGGGAGGAGGCGGCGGGCGCCCGGGTCTTCCTCGGAGCGCGCCCCCTGGGCTGGGCGGCGTGTCCCTGCCTCCCGCCGGCGCCCTCGTCCCCGCAGCAGCGTCCCCGCCGCCACCCCGCTGCCTCGTCGCCTTTCTCGCAAACAGCGGTGCCCTCTACGTGGGGGATCCTGGAGGCTGCTGAGCACGAGCGCCCTCCGCGACCCGCCCCTGCTCCCGCCTCCACTCTTGCCTCGGGGGGAGGGTCTCAGTCTTCTGCCTAAGGCGCCCTCCTCCCTTGGGAAGTCCGCCGTCCTCTGCCGTGAAGATTGCCCCTCTCTCCTCCAGTGCCTCCTCCCCAGCGGCTTCGGTGGCTCCCACCCTCCGCACCCCGTCTCGCGACCTCCCCGCCAGCCCAGCCCCTCACCAGAAGAGGCTTTCTCTTCCAGCCCCTGAAATCTGGCTTCTGCCCCAGCCAGGAGGCTCCGCAGGGCGCTCCGCCACCAGGTGGCATTTCCCACAAACCGGCCACTCCGCCCTGACCCCTCTCCTCCCTGGACCTCCGTCTCCCAGTTTTCCTCCCTCCAGGATCCCACTCTCAGTGTCTTGCCGGATTCCAGTCCACTGCCAGCCATTGAAGGCGGAGGTTCCTTAACCCCTATCCTGGGGCGAGCCCTTCCCTCTCACTGCAGAAGAGCTTCTCAGCTAGGGGGGTCGTGCGGGCCCGGAGAGCTGCATTTTTAACAAACTCCCCACACTGACAATCTTTGCCAACCCTTCCCAGGCAAATCTTGCCCCCACGTTCATGGTCTCGCCTCCCAGCAGGTTTGGCCCACCCAGCTAGAGCTCCAGCTCGGCCCTTCCTAAGCCCCAAGTTGCATAGCTGCCTGGTGGGTGCGTGTTCCACAGGTACCTCGGACTCGCCCTGACCCCAGAACGTCTCTTCTACGCCAGGCCGATCCCTCCTGCCATCCTCTGTCTGTTAAATGGCACTGCCATTGCCTGCAGGACGAAGTCCATATTTGCTGGTTTGGCTACAGAGTCCAGCGTCGCCTTCCTCTGAGCAGCCTGCAGCCTCTGGTGCAGCCACACTGCACAGCTTGCAGTTTCCAGACACGCATTGGCCTTTGCAGTGCGGCCCCGAAGTGGGAAGGCCCCGCCCCTGGCCCTGGCCAGAAAAGCACCCACTCATCCTTTCCCATCCCAGCTTGCCCGCTGAGTGACTTTGAATCAATGATTCATGTTGTCTGTGCCTCAGTTTCCTTAACCTTAAAGTGGCATAATAATTAGTTCCTGCCTCATGGAATTGTGAGTGCTAAATAAACAGTAAGTCTAGTGCCCGACATAAAAGTGCTCAGCATACGACGATCATGAGCCATGTCTAAGCAGGCGCAAGCCCTCCCAGGCTTCTCATCTGCAATATTGGCCATTTCTCTTCATGCCTCAGTGTCCTGTTTGAGTTGAGCATGTTTTTTTTACAAGTGAGTCTCTCCTCCATTGGCCGGGAACCGCCCGAGAGCCGGGAGCATTTGTCATTCTTGATGGACCCCCAGGTCTTAAATCAGTACTTGACCCTTAAGAGGTGTTGGCCGGGCGCGGTGGCTCACGCCTGTAATCCCAGCACTTTGGGAGGCCAAGGCGGGCAGATCACGAGGTCAGGAGTTAGAGACCAGCCTGGCCAACATCGTGAAACCCCATCTCTACTAAAAATACAAAAATTAGACAGGTGTGGTGGTGCGCGCCTATAGTCCCAGCTACCTGGGAGGCTGAGGCAGGAGAATTTCTTGAACCCAGGAGGCAGAGGTTGCAGTGAGCCAAGATTATGCCACTGCACTCCAGCCTGGGCAACAGAGCAAGACTCCATCTCAAAAAAAAAAAAAGAAGAAGAAGCAGAAGAAGAGAGGTGTTTAGCAAGGCTTGGTTCGTTTGGTGAATTAACTCAGTGAGTTAACCACCATTAACGATGGTTAAGGACACTTGGGCGCTGGCTCGATTTGACTCCGAGCTTTACCGATTACTTGTGTGACTTTGTGCAAGTTAATTAACATCTCAGCTTGTTTTCTCATCTGTGAAATGGGGATGATACTAGCATGTACCTCCTAGGACTATAGTGAACTTTTAATTAAGATAATTATTGAATTTAACAGGTAGTTTATTAATGAAATTTACATAGGTAATTGTGGCGCAGTGAGCCCAGGGGCTCAAGGTGTTAGCAGTCATCAACAGTGCTATTTGAAACTGTGGGTGGATGAAGAGGTGAACTCAACACCACAAATATGACAGAGCAGTAACCACCATGGAAAAGAAAAGAGAGCTTATGTGTCTAGGACACCCCAAGAAATCTCTTCTGAATGAATGATGGCAATGAAATAGCCATTAACAGAGGGTAGGCTGGTTTGTGCAGGGTTGGAGGCTTTTCCAAAAATAAATAACTTTCAAAAAATCTCAGCCAGGCGCGGTGGCTCATGCCTGTAATCCCAGCACTTTGGGAGGCTGAGGTGGGTGAATCATGAGGTCAGGAGTTCAAGACAAGCCTGGCCAAGATGGTGAAACCCTGTCTCTACGAAAAATATAAAAATTAGCTGGGCACGGTGGCAGGAGCCTATAATCCCAGCTACGGCAGGAGAATCGCTTGAACCCAGGAGGCGGAGGTTGCAGTGAGCTGACATAGCACCGCTGCACCCTAGCCTGGGCAACAAAGCAAGACTTCGTATCAAGAAAAAAAAAAAAATCAATCTCGGGCCGGGCGTGGTGGCTCACGCCTGTAATCCCAGCACTTTGGGAGGCTGAGGCGAGTGGATCACTTGAGGTCAGGAGTTTGAGACCAGCCTGACCAACATGGAGAAACCCCGTCTCTACTAAAAATACAAAATTAGCCGCCGTTGTGGCACATGCCTGTAATTCCAGCTACTCTACTCGGGAGGCTGAGACAGGAGAATTGTTTGAACCCGGAGGCGGAGGTTGCGGTGAGCCGAGATCGCACCATTGTACTCCAGCCTGGGCAACAAGAGCAAAACTCTGCCTCCAAAAAAAAAAAAAAAAAAAAAAAAAAAATCTCTTTTCCCAATATTTGTAATACTGGGAGTGTTCAAGTTGATTTAAAAATTGAGTCAATTGGAATCCATCCTCAGCTCTTAGCTGTGAAGGGAGAGCTGCCCCTTCTTAGGGATCTCACTTCTCACAGCAGGGGTGCTTCTGTGTGTGGACATCCTGGTCAGCTGGTCCCCTGCTGTCTTGTGGGGCTCACACCCAGGCACTTGATTCAGCGGGGTCTGGGTGGTGTCTCCTTCCTCCTTCCCACCCCAGTAATCGCTATAGCCTTCCCAGGCCCCCAGGTTGCAAAGCACTCTGGACTAAACCTCCTCCAGGTTCTGAGGGCTCCATAGGAGGAAGGTCTAGGCCAGAACCGGCCCCATCGCTGAAGGTGGAGCCAGGGTGGCCGGCCGTGACCGGTGTTTATGCTGTGAGAGCGGCTTTGGCCCTGCCCATTGCCCTGGATGGGCTGCCATCCCTTTTCAGGAGTTCAAAACCACATACTGAGCCCATCGGTCCAAAGGACCATCATCTCATTTGATCCAAGCACAGGGCAAGGGACCACATGGACAATGGCTGCTCGTGGCACCTTCTTGCCATGCAGCCATGTCATGGTGTCACTTGTCACGTTTCCTGGCACCTTCTTGCCATGCAGCAATGTCATGATGTCATTTGTCACGTTTCTGTTCCATTCTTTTCGAGCAAGCAGGAAGCCACGGGGCTACCTCAGTTGCTCTTAGCCAGTAGCTCTCTCCACAGGTAGGCCTTCATCGGAGGGGAAAAGCCACCTTAGGGTTCCAGAGCTCAAGGGCGAATGATGCTTTCCACCCACTAATTTAAATACGGAAGCATCAGATTGTCTGCTTCTCAAGGAAAAGAGCTGTTACCATCTCTGTCTCTTCAATGGGACCCACTCCTGGGCCCCACAGCAGGGCAGGTGCTCAGATGAATGGTGGCCGCCTGCCTGTGTCAGAGGGTCGGCCTAGGCAGGTTCCCCAGTCCGCTGGCCCGGGACGTCCTCCTCTCTCCCGGCCGCTCACTGTTCAGGACAGCCCGGGCCCCCCCCTGGGGCCTTGCAGGAGAGCTTCTGTGATCCACTGGGTGGCTTTGAGGGTAGCTCCCAGGAAAGGCTGCCTCAGCCCCAGCGTGATGGGGACGGGTAGGGGCCGATGAGGCTTCCCAGAGCAGCGATGGCCTTAGGTATTGCCAGAAGGAAACCTACTTTTCCTCCAAGATCAGAGGGAAGGATGAGGTGGGGTGTTGGAGCATCACCATATATATACATCACACACACAGGGAAACACTCCTACTTGGATGGAGGATCTTTGCTGTTCTGTTGAGGCCAGCCTGATCCTGGAGGCAGGGCAGGGCCTGGCTGTTGCCCAGGCTCCAAAGAGGCGCCAGGGCGTCCCTTAGTCCTTACACTTTCTCCAGAACCTGCGGGCAGCAGGAGGCCCTTGTCGGGACAGGCAAGGGGGGCGGTGGTGCGGAATTGTGGGCGTGGCAGTCGGAGGTGCCAAGCCCGGGGAGGCGGGGCTTCCTGGGAGCATGCGTAGTGCCGGCTCTGCCTGGGCGGGGTCCTAGGCTGCTGCTCCCGCCTCCCCCGGCACAGGTAGGGCGCCCCGCAGACCCGGACAACGCTGGGTGTGGCTGAAAACAGGGAGTCATGGTGCGTTCTGGGGAAGGGTCAGGGCTGGGGGCTCGGGCCCCTGGACCAAAGACTCTAGCCAAATCCATCGGAGGCTGAGCAGGGCGATGGGGCAGGGCCGGGGGAGCCGTGGGGAAATGGGAGGGTGTGGGCCGAGCAGCGCCGGAGGCAGGTACCGACCATCGCCGGGTTTCCCAGAGGGCAGTGGTACCTGTGCCCACATGTGCGGCCTTTTTTGTAAAGGAACCTATCCCAACCCGAAGGCCCAAACGTGTGGCCGTGTAAGTTTAGTTGTGCCCGGAGTCCCAGGAGAGCCCGGACTGAGGGCAGCCAGAGGCCGGTGTCCGCAGAACGGCCCACGAGGCCTTCGGCTCAGTAGCCTGGAGTTTGAAATGCACCTTGAGCTTTAATGGCCTTTTCCTTGTGAGAATTCGAGTTAACGTGCCTGCTGGTGCTTTTGATGGGTGAGGACGGTGAGGCAGGCCACACATCTCGCTTCTTTCCAGAACACTTCTGGGTAGTCGTTCAATTCCACATTTAATCCAAAGCCAACAGTTCCATGGGTGACTGTGCTGCTGGCTGTAGGAAGCCGACTGTGGACAGATGAGGATAATGGTCTGAGTGAATTAGCAAGTCTGGAGAGGAGCGCCCATCAGCAGAATGACAAATTTAGGATCTTTAAAGACATCTGGTCAGCGATGCCGGAGCTCGTGATTGACTGAGTGATTAATAATGGAAAACCCTTACTTCAGTGTTTCCACGGCCCTCACCCACTTCCCCAGCCGGGGCGGCCGTCTGCTCAGCCTGCCAGAGACCTTTCCAGCTGAACAATGGCGGCATTTAGGCCCCTCATCTTTGACCTCTGCTTGGGAGTTCAAAGCTTCCTTTTCCTTCTACTTACCCCACTTATCTGCGTGTTTTCTAATTGATAGTGTACTGAGATGGCTCCCAGTTCCCACGCACATTTGCTAGAATGTTACCTTCACACAGTGCGTACCAAGGACCTAGTGCCAGCCAGAGCCTGGCACCTCAGGGTCACCCTAGGCGTCCTGCTCATGGTTCCCTATCAGGGGCTTCCCTCAGATACACACAGCCCCTGGGCCTGTTGAAAGGCTGACGTTATCCCTCTTTAATTCTGCGGTGGATTTTTCTCCAGGCTAAGGCAGCTGGATAAGCACAGCCAGGCCACAGCCCAGCAGCTGGTGCAGCTCCTCAGCAAGCAGAACCAGCTTCTCCTGGAGAGGCAGAGCCTGTCGGAAGAGGTGGACCGGCTGCGGACCCAGGTACTGTGCAGAACGCGGCGCAGGTGGGAGTCCTTGGGCGGGCGTCTACAGGTGGATCTTTTATGCACCTCAACAGGCCGGCTTTCTCACGGATCACATCGGTTAGCAGTAAGCTGGGAGGGAGGTCCCGAAGACTGTGCTGGGCACAGTGCAGGACCCAGAGAAGCGGAGCCATGGGCCCGTCCTGGTGAGGGAGTTAAAGTCCGTGCAGGTGAACAGACCCCGGCCCGCGAATCAACGAACCACACCGAGTGCCAAGTTGCGCCGTGCAGGCTGCGGAGGGTGCGAGAGCAGGGAGAAGCGGGAGGACGGCCGTGGGCGGCAGAACAGGCTTTTTGGAGGATGGTGGCCTTGAGCTGCCTCTGAAGGTCGTGTATGGTTTGAATTGGTTGAGGAAAGAGGTGTTCCCAATTAGCAAAGTCGTCTTGAATGGAAGGCAGGCATCTCATCCTAAATTAGCTGACTGATTACTGGGCTAATATCTGGAGTGCTTGCAGAGCACCCGGCAGTGTTACACACAGAACATGCATTAATTCCCTTTACCCTTGAACAAGCAGGCGATGCTGACTTTATTGTCTTCATGGTTTAGATAGGGAAACTAAGGCCCAGACAAGCATTACAGCTGGCAAGTAGGGACACCGCAAACGGAGGCTAAGCCTGACTCCACAGCCCAGGCTTTCCCCATTCAGGTTAGATCCGGGGCCACCAGCAGGGAAAAGGGAGGAAGGAAAGTGTCCCGGTGAATTTGGAACACAGTATGAAACCTCGTTTGCTAAATCGCTTCTCTTCCTGTCAGAGAGGCTGTGCATTTTGCCCCGTCAAGCAGTTTGTTAGGATAATGAGGTGGTCCGTGGGCTGACCAAGGCCTCCGCCTTTAATTAGGATTGCACCCAGGTGCTCTGTGAGTGCCCTGGGGACTTCAGGCAGTAAGTGCTTGGAATGATTAATATGAAAAATGCATCTGGAAATGAAAACGAAGAGGAGTCTCATTCTCCTCACAAAATGACCCTGTGCTCAAGGAACCTGTAAGTACTGACTTTTCCCACTCGGTCCAAAATCCCTCTGCCAAACATGTGTTCACAGACAGTAAATGAGCACACCCAGGCGCCACGGAGCTAAGGCCTGGAGGTGGAAATGCCTCTACTGTCCCCATGCTTCTGAGACTGCTCCCAGGGACTGTGGGGGAGCGGGCCGCTCAAAGTCCGAGCCACAGCCGCACTGCCACAGCTAATCTAGGAGGCGAGGCCTCACCTGGCACGCTCCATGGCAGGGCCCTGGAACCTGAATTTTGCCAAGCTGTTGGGATGATTCTGGACGACACTACATTTTGAAAACCTCTGAAGTGTTTGGAGCTGGAAAGAACAGAGAATTATTCCAGGTTGTGTCACTGTGCTGAATCCCCTGCCCCCGCTTCGGACAAGTAACTTAAGCCTTTTTCCAGCCTCAGTTTCTCCTCTGCACAGTGGGCATGGTGCACGCCTGGCTTCACGGGCTACTGGGAGTGCTGAGTGCAGGCGGGATGCCCCACGGGCCCTTGGGCACACAGGCTGAGGACGTGTGAGGGTGTTTCCTTTCTCCCTCATCTTCAGAGGGTCCTGGGAGAGGTTCAGGGAAGGCAGAGGCCTGCAGAGCAGCAGCTGTGGGACCAGTGCCACTCCCCTCCCCTCTGCTTTCAGGATGACCCCCTCATCCTCCACCAGACCCAGCCCAGAACCCAGCCCTGTGGGCAGGTCCCCAGGGAGGGCCCCAGCAGCACCTGCTTTAGGCCTGGCCAGCCAAAGATCAGGACCACTGGAGCCACTAGGTCTCCTGGCAGGTGACTAGGCTCTTGTCACATAGGAGGGAGGGACCGTGACTCCTGGCATGAGTGAATCTTCAGCCTCTAAAGCCAAGAACTCTGTCAGACCTCAGGTTGTGGGGAGTCTTCCGTGGAAGCTGGAGCACACGGCAGCTTCCTTTGGGCTCTGGACTAGATCAGGAGAACGTGGGCTTTGCCTTTTAACTCCCCATCTGCCTGCTTTACAGCACACTTAGATCTTAACATGGATCACCGATGCTTAGAAGCTTCTTCCAGGGCTTTAAAAATCTGGCTATTGCCAAATGAGTTGCAAAATTTTCACAAAACGCATTAAAAAAACCCCAAACCTCAAAAAATCCTCAGAAAAACTAGCAGGTCTTTCTTTCTTCTTTTGCCTGAAGCAACAGCAATGATTTGCCCATTCCTGTGCTATCTGATACTGGCCCATCTGGCTCATCTCTAAAGCGGCCTTTCAGATTCAAATATTACACTTGGAGTTATTTTAATATGAACATGACAAAAGAAATTTGGTAGAGGGAATGTTGGCTTTCAGTTGCAAATACTAGTGGTCAGAGAGGAGGCAGGGATCCAGGTTTGCAAGCTCTCTGCTGAATATCTAAACCCAGAGCCTGCTTTTTCTGGCTAAGCCTGGCCTTCACCTCTAGGTAGGGGCTGTCAGTGGGCTTCAGCCTCTGCGATGCCTTCTTGTCATGGAATCAGCTTGAGTTGTGAGTTAGGCTTCTGCTGAGCCATGATGTGGGCGAGGCTGCTGTAGGTTCGAGCAGGTATTTTGGATGCGGTGCCGCCTGAGGGCTCCGGAGTGCTCAGCCACCCTCTCTGTTTTCCTGGAGTGGCCTGTGGGTCCAGATCTTGGGCAGCTGAGGGTTAGAGCTGTCCTCATGTCCGGGTTAGAGATGGTTTAACTAAAGGCTTCCGTTTTCTCAGCCTGGATGAGTTAAGCTTAACTTAATTTTGCATGTCAAACTCTAAACATCTCTGTCCACTTAATACCCAGAAGAGAATGGGTCGGGCAATGGTTCCAAAGCAAAGTCCACCCCTTTCCTTCCCTCCCTGTCCTGGGTCCTGAGCCCCGCTGCCCCTGGTGGTGGGGCTCAGGCTGGCCTGTGGCCTCCAACAGGAAGTGTCTAGCCTGTTGGCAGGCTTCATTATTCTAATTGTTTCTGCTTGAATTCTGAAACACTCACAACAACATGGCTGGCAGAGGGAGCCCCTGGTAGTGGTAGCTGCCACATGGATGCTTTTGGCCACGAGAACCCCCATCCTCCCCGCTCCCCGGCGCTGTCTGCGGTGGGCAGGACTCAGGGCACTGGCTCAAGCTCTCGGCTCGTTTCTTGGCTTTTTTTTTTTTTTTTTTTTTTTTGAGACGGAGTCTTGCTCCGTCACCCGGACTGGAGTACAGTGGTGCAATCTCTGCTCACTGCAACCTCCGCCTCCCGGCTTCAAGTGATTCTCCTGCCTCAGGCTCCCAAGTAGCTGGGATTACAGGCACCCACCACCACACCTAGCTAATTTTTTTGTATTTTTAATAGAAACGGGGTTTCGCCATGTTGGCCAGGCTGGTCTTGAACTCCTGACCTCAAATGATCCGCCCACCTTAGCCTCCTAAAGTGCTGGGATTACAGGCGTGAGCCACTGCGCCCAGCTGTTTTTTTTTTTTTTTTTTTTTTTGATGAGTTTTGTTCTTGTCGCCCAGGCTGGAGTACAATGGCATGGTCTTGGCCTACTGCAACCTCTGCCTCCTGGGTTCAAGCAATTCTCCTGCCTCAGCCTCCCAAGTAGCTGGGATTACAGGTGCCTGCCACCACGCCTGGCTAATTTTGTATTTTTAGTAGAGACTGGGTTTCTCCACGTAGGCCAGGCTGGTCTCGAACTCCTGACCTCAGGTGATCTGCCCACCTTGGCCTCCCAAAGTGCTGGCATTACAGGCATGAGCTTTGCCCGGCCTCTTGGCTTGTTCTTAGTTTAGGGTGACTACAAATAATGGCATTATTGATCTCCTGCCTCACCTGGGTTCGGAAACAACTTCAAGAAAATAGCTTTTAAATGTCATGAAATGGCTCTTACTTGTCCTTGTGGAGAAACAGACACTGAAGCACTAGCCCAGCTTTGCCTAGATGCAGTTCCCCACACTCTGTATTCCGGGAGGGTCAGGGCCTCCAGACACACACCCTGGCCTGTCTTTTGTTTGAGACTGGGCTGGGTAGTCGCACTCTCGCCCTCTTGAGAGGCAGGCCCTGGCTGGGGGAGGCTGAAACCTTGGTGGTGGGGGTGGGGGGAGGGGGATTCGGGGTGAGGGTGGTGGGTCTCAGGGGAGTTTGGGCAGGGCCTGACAGCTTGGAGCAGGGTCAGGGGTCTGCGGCCCAGAGCCTGGGGGCTCTAACATCTGGCTAGGAAGGTTGGAGCCAGCTGGTGAGGAAACATGAGTCTTGGGGAGAATGGCATCTGGGACAGGGGAAAACAGAAATTATCTGTCCACTTAGAGGATGGTCTCAACCATCAAGATGATTTTCTGTGTCTGCTTTCTTATTTGGTAATGAATACGGTTTTGGCTGACTTGCATTTTCTGGTAGCCGTCGTATCCTGAGCAGGCTGCTTGGTTCTGTCTGCAGTGTTCAATCTGGGGAGTGATTCCCTTTTAGTCCCCTCATATGAATCACTTACAGTTTAGAAAACAGAGTCGGAAACTGACTTGTCAGTGGTTAATCAGTTGGCCCTATGACTTTTAAGCATTCTTGGCAGTGAATTTACTTTCTAATTTGATTTAAACTTGTGCATGGATCCAGCAGCCATATGTGATTATATTCAAGATCATCGACATTATCTCATTATACCAAAGGACTCATAGAAGAGAGCCGAAAACAAGCAGGGGACACAGAGACACAGAAGATGATGAAGGGAGGAAAGGCCCATTGCAACTGGAAGCAAAGGGAGAAGGGAGGTTCTAGAAAAGTGACAGCTCTCAGGGAGCAAGACTCCCTGCCGAGGGAGGCCTGGCTGCAAGGCGGAGCTGCTGCAGGCTGCCCATGTTAGGCCTTGGAGGTGTCACCTAATTTACTGTGGTCCTTCCAGGAGCCCTGGGGGCCTCGCCCAGCTGACTTAGGAGCTACCACAAAGTTAGCTACCTGTAAGACAGATGGCGCTTGAATAGAACAGCAAATACATTGAATAAAATAAATTAAAAAGCCTCCTCCTGAACCAAGATTTTTTGGAAAGAATTCTAAATAGATGAAAACAAACAATTTGATTTCAACCAAATTGTTGTTTTTTTGTTTTTATCCTGATTTTCACCCGAATTGTCAGTCTCAAAAATAAACACTGATACATTCCCAGAAAATATTTTTCAAATAAAAACTGACTCTGTTAAAGTTTGCCCTGATTCTTTCAAAACTGTGTACAAGACACTGTCAACCAAAGTGACTTGCATATTTTTTTAAATAAACTTGAACATATGCAGCTAAAATGTCATTAACTCCCTGCTGCCTGAGTGTTTTTAAAAAATGACACAAGACCCTGGGTGCTGCATGTCTAACATAAGCATCTCGCGACCTTCGGAGAAACTTCCCCAAACACCTCCAACAGCAGACAGTTAAACTTTTTGTTTTTTGACTGAGCGCCCCGTGTATAATTAATATTGAAAAGCGCATAGGGCTTCATTTTAGCCAGACTTGCTCTTCCGTTAACAGTTCACTTTGTCCAAGAGTGAGTACTTTCAGAATAAGAATCATGGGAGAAAAGTCAATTGAATTTTATATTCCTTCAGATACATTCACTCTACTTATTGCTTCCTGAGTCAGACATTACATTTCACAATATAAATTCACAATCAAGATTTTAAAGGGAGCTAAATATTTTAATCCAATTAGACAAGTGAACAAAACACTGAATATTGCATGTAGTGTAGATAAGTGGTTCTTGCCTTTAAAAGACTGTAATTCCGTCACATTACAACCCCAAATGTCAGTGTTGTCTTTATTTTTAACACTTTCAAACATGAGGCAGCCAGAGGCTCCACTCTCTGCTGTTGGTGACACTGTCTGTCCTTTGGGAATTCTTAAAATCTATTTACCATGGAAACATGGTTCATATAAAACACAGACCTGCCTGTGTGTAGAGGAAGTTCTCATGACTCAGGGGACTTGAGAAAGCTGGAAGATGACAAACTCAGACCCCACGGTTGGGAAGGAACCCTTGGGCTTGGGTGCGCCCTGGGGAGGACAGGTGGCACCGCAGAGCCAGGGCCTCCACCCCGGCCTCATGTGTGCTGGGGCCTCCCTGGCCTGTGCGGGGCCGCCTCCCTCTCCCCGCCAAGTCCAGCTCGAGATGCTGTCTTACGGAACGTCCCACTTCATGTCTGCAAGGCGGCCTTCTCTGTGGATACCTTTCCATTCCTCTGGTTTCTGCGGCCCTGTTCCTTTCTCGGAGCCCAGAAGCAGCAAAGCCAAGCCCTGCGGTGGAAGGGAAGGAGGGCTTTGAACTCTGACTGCGGTGTGGAGGCTGTTATCAGGGGCCCAGCCGGGCAGCCAGGAGGGAAGAATGGCCGCTGCCCTGCGATGGCCTTAACCGTGAGCCCCCGCCTGCTTTGCAGCTGGCAGAGCCAGGTTCCTGGAAAGGCCTGACCCGGAGGGGACGAGGCCCCTCAGTGAGAACTTCAGTCGCTGTGCTGGGGACAGCAGGGCCGCAGGGGCCTGAGGGTGGCTGACTGCCCCTCGGCTCTGTAGAGGAGTGCTCCCTTCTGACAGGTGGGCGGTCCTGCTCGAAGGCCGCGTTTCCCCGACGTTCTGCCCAGCATGCTGAGGGCACCTCTCTCCTCAGTGCGTTGGTGGCGAGCCAGAGCTCACGTGGCTTATTTCATCCAGGTTGCCTTCCCAATTTGGCAGCTTAATTCCGTAGATATCAAACTGGCTGCCCCTCATCTGCCAGAGCAAGCAGGAGAGCCTCGCATGGGAGAGTCTGGACTTTGAGGTCAAACTGCCTGGATTCGAATCTCAGCTCTGCGTTGCTTCAGAGACATGTGTTAGCTTTCATGTCACTTGATTTCTGGCAGAGAAAAAGAAAGAACCAGCTTCCCTTTAAAAGGAAGTGCCTCATATTACCCAGAGCCCAGCACAGATGATTATGAAACCAACAGGATTAGTGCTGAGATCATTGTGGGCTTGAAAGGGCCATTTGAGATAAATAACCATTTTGTACAGATAGAAAAATAAGGCCCAGAGAAATGAAGTGAATGGAATTGGGAAGTGGCTGGGCAGGGAAATGAACTTCTTCTCAGGCCACAGGATGTGTGGATGGGGGCAGGTACCCGAGCGGGTGCGGGCGGAGCCGGGCCTGGCTGGAACAGCTGCCGAGCCCTGGCCCCGGTGCCCAGAACACGAGGCGGAGGCGGGAGGCGAGCCACCAAGCGAGGCAGGGGCTGCCCTGGAGCTCTGTCAACTCAGGGCCAGCTTTGAAATGCCCCAGATGGAGGTAGGGGGAGGGGCCTGCCCTCTCCAGTTACAAATGGATGCTTTATTGCCAGACACACAAGGAACAGGACCACGTTTTGACTTGGCCAAACAGAGACAGCGTGCCAGTGAGCAGAGCGGACAGCAGGGGGGGAAGGGGTTGTTACCTTCAGAAGGGTTGGCTAGAGCCACCCACGGAGACAGTGAAGTGCGAAGCCCGGGCAGGTCTCCTGTGAGCAGGGGCGAGGGGTGCCACCATCTCCCCGGGCTGCCACTTCTGGCTGGTTTGGGAACAAAGCAGCAGCAAAGGCTGGCTGGACCCCACAGTGTGGTTGCCTGGGGAACAGTTCAGGTCACCCAGAGCAACTGATTTCTTACACTCAGAACTTAACAAACTTTAGAAATAAATGAGGCAGGGTTTGTGGAGAGATGACTCCGATAGGATTTAAAATGAGAACAAAGAAAATGGGTTAGCAGCTGTGTGCCTGCAGATGGGGGCACGTTTCCACCACCTGTGGACAGCACGGCAGGGGAGCAGTGGCCAGGGCGCCCTGTCGCCCCCCTCTGAGCTGCAGGACAGCCACAGGAGGGCCACAGCAAGGGCCATGATGACAAATGGAAGGGCAGAAGGACGGGAGACACTGGCTGAGGGCTCATGTCCCACTGGCATACGCACGCTCTACTCTCCTGGACGAGACCATGATCACTGTGGTGTTGATGACAGGACTTCCTGGAAATAAGCATCGTGGATATCCCTAATGGCAGACAAGCCAGATGTGGGCAGTAACTAAGGCTTCTGTCTCGGTCAGAGAAATGTGTGTTACCAAAGAGTCAGCAAATGGAGGCGACAAAACGGTGACCTCCTAGGACAAATTATCCAGCCCTCCAGTGCTGACTGAACGCTCACCATGGGTCAGGCACGGCTGTAGGCACGGGTGGGGGGGGGGGCGTTGAGCAGTGAACGGTAAGTTCAACAGTGTGAAAGTGGGGATGGATATGGGGCTTCTCACCTGAACCGCAGGAAATACAAAGCCCATAGAGATGGCCATGGCTGATCTGCCGCAGGAAGGAATCAGGCTGACTTTTGATTGGTTCCTGGTGAGGCCCGTACATCTGTGTCACCCCCATGCAGGCCCACGGAATCAGGAGGTCACCCGTTTCTGGAACAGCTCCGATAGTGATAAATTGCTAGGTGGCCTGGGAGCCCACAGGCATTATGTAGACTCATCATGAGAAATGCCTGTTTCCTGGAGCTTATCAAAAAATTCCGCAACACATTTTACTTTTACTTCAGGTCTTTACGCCTATTCTGTATTGTGTGTACGTGGGTGTGTTCTCTACCCAAAATTCATCACTGCAGCCTTGAATTCTGGGCTACAGCAATTCTCCTACATCAGCCTTTTGAGTCGCTGGGACTACAGGGGTGCGCCACCACACATGGCTAATTTTTACAATTTTTTTTGTAGAGATGAGGTCTCACTATGTTGCCCAGGCTGGTCTCGAACTCCTGGACTCAAGCGATCCTATTGCCCCAGCCTCCCAAAGCACTGGGATTACAGGTGTGAGCCACTGTTGGGTTGTTTTTCTTTTGAAGTGTTATCTGTTGGGATTTATGCTTATCCCTTTTGTATTCAGTCATCCTAGCATTTCTAAAGTTAGGAAGCCACTGTGTCAAGAGCGAGGCCACCAGGCCACCTGCCTTATGTGGCCAATCCATGGAGCAGGGGTGGAGGGCCATTCAAACCAGTCATTTAGCAGGACTGTGCTGGGTCAGTTCGATCACCTGGCCTGGAGGGCACGTCAGCTTGGTGCAAACCCTGCGTTTGACAATCAGATCGTGTTGGTGGCAGTCTCCGTGCTGTCAGTATCCCACTGAGGACAGAAGGGAGTCCCCTCTGCAATGGCAGGGCTCTAGGGCATAGTGCATGGGGTGGACTCCTCATGGGCCACTCAGACAGGGCCTGGAGAACAAAGCATCCCGTGGGCCCAGGAAATTGTCCACCTGGCTCCACGGGCCTGGGAGGGCTGTGTGCATGGGATGGCAGGTTTACGAGGAGGAGTGAGGCCTCCTGCCGGAGCCCCACCTGCATTCAGCCTGAGGCCAGGCCCCCCACCTACTCTAACTACCCTGCTGAGACCACCCCACTACTCACAGACCTGTTCAAGAAAAAGTTGTCCTCAGGGTCTCTCACACACTGGGAAATCTACTTGAAATGTAAACATTACTTTTTCTCATTTTTCATAAAAGGCAACAGGCTGATGTTCATATATTTCTCTTGAATGCGGATTCAGTTTCACTCATTGCCCTGTCTTGGAAATCCCCATGTTAATGATGGCTTAAATTAGGTTGATAGAGTCCTCCCTTGGAGTCCAGCTTGGAAAATCCTCACTGGAGAGGGGCAGGCCCACTTCTCTTTTTGGAAGATGGTTCCTAACTAAAGAAAGAGGGACCAGATTGGGCCCCTGGCCCTGCAGTGCGTCCCAATTTATCTGACGTAGAAACCGGGATTTGGAAAATACCATCCTGGCTTTTCTCTGGACTTCACAATCTAGAGGGCGAGGACTGTGGCCCAGTCACCTTCCCACACAGTGCACAGTAGAAACTCCAGACATGCTTTGTGGAGTGGAAACATTTCCAGTGGCTTCTGACTCTAGTTCCTGATGTGGTTTAAACTAATTTGGGCAGCCATGGCAGCAGAGGCCAGGAACAGTATTCAATACTTTCTGAACTTGTGATTCTCCCCCAACCTGATCTGCATGAAGCTACTTTGGAACATTTGTATCTGCGTAAAACTAAGAGACCTCAGTACACCCAATCCCCTCTTCCAACACATGTGAGGTTTCCATGTGAAAGTACTTTTTCATAGGTTACAATAAATTGCTTGCAGTTACAAATTTGGAGGTGTTTCAGCTTGTATTGTTTCACGAGGAATTTCTTAGGGGCACTTGGCCTACACCCTGTTTTTGTTCTAGAATTACCTGCCGTTAAGGTCAGATAAATTTTCAGTAAACAGATTATGGCACAAATCAATGTGTCCTTTCCCGGACAGAAGAGATGGCTCTCTGGCCATGTCCTAACACCAGACTGTCCTTATTTAAGAGGCAGGCGTGTCTTTTGTCTAGGTTGTCTTCAAATTTAACCCATTAAACCAGTTAACCTTATTTCATATGTGAAGGGCTTTGATGTGGACAAGATGAGGCACAAACTTTTCATATAATTTCCACATTTTTAGCAACAGGTTTTTTTCTCCAACAACAGTTTTCATCATAAAAGGTGACTAAACCAGCAAATGAGAAGACAAATAACATTGAAGAACATGAGCTATTGAAACTTACTTTTTATTATTTTTTCCAGTTACCCAGCATGCCACAATCTGATTGCTGACCTGGATGGAACAGAGTGAAATAAATGATTTACAAAGAGATATTTACATTCATCTGGTTTAGACTTAATATGCCACAACGCACCACGACCTTCCCAGGGTGACACCGCCTCAGCCTGCAGTGGGGCTGGTCCTCATCAACGCGGGCGCTGTCCCCGCACGCAGTCGGGCTGGAGCTGGAGTCTGACTCTAGCTGAGCAGAGCTCCTGGTGTATGTTTTCAGAAATGGCTTGAAGTTATGTGTTTAAATCTGCTCATTCGTATGCTAGGTTATACATATGATTTTCAATAAATGAACTTTTTAAAGACTTGAGTTGTAATGTTTCCTTTTTATCTTGTAGTGATGAACAAAACACACCAAAAAGGCACATATTTTAACTAGGCCAAAGTATATTAAGGACCAAACTTTTTTTCCTGCCATTCATTTTTCTTTTCATGATCTATATATCAATCATCCTTCACCTTTAATCAATGTCCCATCAGACTCCATTTTATTTATTTATCGTCCTACTTTGTGCACAATCAATCAATCAGGAGACACCAGGAAGCACTATGCATTACTCTTTCCATTCTGTTAAACAACGAAAACAGACAAAAAAGCATCTTTGGCTCGGTGGTGTCAGATTTTTTTCTTCAATACGCAGTATTTGAGAGGAGCCTAAAAACGTACTTAGTGAAATTAGAAAATTTACTTAGAGTATATCAAATATCTGTACACAGATAATTATTTGTCTAAAATAGTATTTCTACTATACACAATTAAGCCCTCAAATGCTTTAAAGTAATAAAAACGGACACTGGACATACCGTGTTGTATCTGAGAATGACAAACACTAAAGGCAAGGCTGCAGTTAGTTAGGACAGGTCCCTGACCTTCGGCTGCCCTGCCTGGCCAGCGAGCCATCATCCTCATCACCATCTCAACACAGAGCTGATGTCACCATATGCTCAGCCTTGCCTCTCAGAAGTGATGTGGATTAGGCTTTGGAGGCGGTGGCATGATCTACACACAGAGACCATTTGAATCTCTTGAGCATGTAAAAGGTTCAAGCCTGAAACAGTAGAACTTCTATTCAGATTCAGAAGTTTTTTATTTCATCAAATGTGCTAGACATAAAGGCTGTCACATAAGATATTTTAATTGTCCTTAATTCTGTTTTAGATATACTGTGAATAAATTATACAATATTCTAAAAATAGCACCTTTAAAGAATTATAGAGGTCACTTTTTTTTAGCCTCCTGGATCTGTCAACCCCAGTGGTTTTGAGAGAAGAGCACATGTGAGAATGCCCTCAAATTTGGCCGTGTGACATACACATACATGCTTGACTCACTCTGGTCCCAAAAGCCATTCCTCTGTCTGGCTTCGTCACAGGAGCAAAGCCAAGTTTCTACAATAGTAGCTTTATGAGGTAAAATCAGAAAAAGGCCCCATCCAGAATGATTCAACGTGAAGTCAGACTGCAGTCCAGCCATCCTACCCATCTACATCACCCACGTCTAAGTTTGTTAATTTGCCATGACATGTTGTTAGAAATACACTCTAAGAAAGGAAATATGCAGAGCAGTACATTATCAGGAAGACGTTAATGAAAAGCTACATTCCTTCAGATTCTGGGTCCAAACCGTGTGTTGTATAGATGATTCGGGTCTGAATGTCCCCAGGGTCTGAGACCTCCTTCATCCCTGGCTTCACAGTACATCCATCCTAAATCCAGTGCTGAGAGGTCAGCGTTTCCCCTCAGAAGCAGCCGTTCATCAAAGTTTGCACAACCGCACTACTGCCATTTCACTGAAGTAAAAATGATCCCCTATGTGTGTGTGTGTGAGCTACAAGGAATTATTTCTATATTTTCCTGTCACATTTTATACAAGGTAGGTTAATACCAGCTGGGGCTATTAAAAATCATGTTTTCATTAAAGAAGATTTAATTTGGGGGGATTATAGAACCACATCCAACAACAATAAACAGAGAAGTAGCAGATTGACATAGTGCTTTATTTAAGCTGTCTGTACGAAGGAAAATCATGTTCATCCCTATCATATACGTGTAAAAATACTAAGGATGTACAGTGTACAAAAACAGTTTCTCCTAGTTATTCCACATCCTTGTGGGTCATATACTTCAGGAAATAGACAGGTTTAGTATGACCAACAGTAATAGTAATACAGTTTCTTGGGTTTATAGTTGCATCTGCTTAAAATCCTTAACCAGATGACTAGATCTTGCGCAGATCTAATGAAAGAACTAGCAAGGTCAAGAAATGTCACAAACTATAAAGCTACAGGGAGGTAATTCAATTACCAATTTAGAGGTTTTCTTTTTATTTAAATAAATACTTTACATTTCATGCTTGCCTGTAATGCACTACCAGGAGCAAGATAAGGAAATTCTACTGTAGACAGTACAAACAGTAGCAGCAAAGTGTGTATGTTGAGGTGTAATAGAGAGACCCTGCAGTTAGTAAGGAAGGCCCTTACTTTTGTACTCTAGGAGAAGCAAGTGGCCCCTGCAAGAACAGTCAGCTTTAAGAAGCTGGAAATCAGGGATGGGAAATGGAAAACAATACTTGAATAATGCTATGTAATTAGTGTAGAAAGCAAAGCTGAGCGCGACCCTGCCAACCATCTAAGCAGAAATGGCCAATTTCCTCCAAGATGGCTGCATTATGACAAGAAGTCAAGCTTCATGACAGTTAGTATGGGCTGGAGTCTGCAAAGTCTGAACTGTATTCTCATAGAATGATTCCAGGTTTCAGGGTGTTCCACCTGCCAGAACCCAAAACTACAACTATGGGCGACACAAGGGAAGTTTTAGAAATCTCCCTCTACACGCATTTCTGGTTTTCTATTATTCCTCCATGGCAGCTGACAGATCTGGAAGTGAAAATAGGGGATTCTCAAAATCAAAGCCAAGAAGACACCTTGTGTGACACCAATGGAGTCTCAGAGGGTGGAATAGAAGTGACTGAGCCCCAGGCATGGCTGGGAACTGAGAGCCAGTGTGAGGAGTGGCCCGCCTGGGGCAATGTCAGTGCCAGTCATTAATCTTTAAGAAGTGTCCTTGGCCAAGGTCATGGGAATCACTTTAAGATTTGCGGGAGAAAAAACCAAAACAACAAAAAGCTGTGTGCTTAGTGTTCGGTGTCATGCTTTCCCTCTAGAGGAGTAAGTGCTCTGAACATCAGCCAGTCTCAGCTTTCTGCTCTTCCTCTCACCTGTTTCTTTCTTATATAATGGATGCAAGACAACTTAAAGAACATACCTTCTAGTCTACTTTTTTGTCAAAATGAAACATTCAACATAATTCCAAGTGAAAAAAAAAAGATTAGCTATGTGTGTAAGTAAGAATGAACTACCATTTACTGTAACTTCCTACTCAATACTAAGGATGAACTTCACTCAGGTAGAAATATGAAAAAGAAGGATAACGTTGATGTCTGAATATGTCTTAGCTGCCTTAGTAAAATGCCCTTTAACCCCCGTCAGTCCCAGTGGCCCACCCACTGCCAGCAGTGGTTTCATAGCTATAAATCCACACTTCCAGCGTCAAGAGGCTAAGACATCTGCATATGAATATGATTCATCCTACTTAGAAAGTCACTTGCTCTTTCATACAATGCAATCATAATACTACGTCATGCTGTAGTCTTCCGTTTGGGAGCTGTCAGAGTTTAACTAAAATACATTTCCATGATCACTCCGCGGAGTAGGATGGCCTTCTGCTTGCCGCAAGAGTGGCCCCCAGCCCCTAGGACTTCACAGGCTGCTTTGGAAATTGTCAGCTCCTAGCACCAAAGGGTTTAATCTGAAGATCATCATTAATGAAGGAGAAAGATGAGGTTTGCATACATGCCCCCTTTCAGTGAGAAATGTTGGAATCTGGGGGACATGAGTATATACAGAAAAAGAAAAGCTGGAGGTGTTCTCTTTTTTTGTTGTTTTTTCCCTGATGGCTTAATTCAGTGATAAATGTACCATGATCCCAAGAAACACACCAGGTTCTTAGCCTTCACTGCCCATTTCCTAAATACTCAAGATGTGTTCATTTTGCCACGTAAAGATCATTTCTTATCTTCACTCAGGTCTCAATTTTCTTCATTACTTTTTGTTGCCAGGTCATCATAACGTTTCAAATTCTTAAATGAGCAAACGTCAACAGCTATTTGTTTCATTAACCCCTTGGCATGCATAGTTGGGGATTTTCTCATTTTCAGTACCAAGGGGTTAAATGGCAGCATCTCTTCTCCCAAAGCCAAATTCTAACCAATATATTCCATTTCAGAGCCTTATCATTTTTTTTAACAGAGGAGAAAAAGTGCATGATTCTCATCAGCGTGTACAATCCTTGCACATGGGTCAAAAGTAACTGCAGTAAGTCTATTTTATATAAGTTGGAGCTGCGTTTGCTAACATGACATACAATTCTCATCACTAAAAAATAAATACTACTGCAATATAAACAAAATCATAAAAGGACATTCAAAGTTTCAACATCTGAGAAAAAGCTAATTCACGTAGAACTGAAAGTAAAAAATTAAATAAGGCAAACACCTGTTTACCTTGGTGTAGAAATTTTGGTGAAAAGCAGTATCATTATACCTGTCTACATTCTTCAGCCATCAGAGGTGATAAATGTCAAGAAGGAAAAAAGGTTTCCAAGCACAGGGGAAAGATGCTCTCTGGCTCAAATTGTTTCATAAGACCCTTTAAGTGACCTTGACTGTGCATATGCCTTCAGTTCTTGGTAGAACAGTGTTCACTTGCTCATGATTGCCCGTGAAGTCTCGACATCCACATGTGATATGGGCTTCTTCTACAGTATCCACCAGGAATTTAAAAAAAAAAAATTATATATATATATATATATCCCAACAGTTGTTCAGTCCTTCTACCAAATGCTTCCTAATCAATTCCAGCCACAGCTTAGTGATATATGCCTACTTCACGCACGGATCTGATGTGCTTTACATATGCACGCCACCACCCTTCCACAATTGCTTGTTCTGAATTTATAAACTAAATCTTCTTAGTCTAGTTAGTTTTTCTCTTCTAGAAAGTTAAAAAATGTACCTAGAATCAGTGTATCTCATTTAGCCTTCACTGAGGGAAAAACTAAAAGATCAAAAGATGATAATTGGTGCACAAATGAACAATGGTGGGCTCATGACTTCCAAAGGTTGGAAAATTACTTCTTAAAGTTGCTATAATAGTAAGACAGTAGCAGCAACAGCATGAGACCTTAGACTGAGATACAATTTCATGCAAAAACAAAAACTGGAGTGTATTTGCGTGTATGTGTGTTTTCATGAGGGTGAAAGGTGGCGAGGGGTGAGGACCCTTGGCTGGTCTGGGATGTCGGAAGGTGCCCCTGCTATGTGTAAGAGCTAGGACTGGTGATGTCCAGGAATCATTTTCAGTAATAAATTGAAGATGACAGTGAAGTAGCAGAATGAAAGAGACTTATTCTCGTCCACTTGCAGAGTAGGAAAATTGAGGGAAATGCGGCCGCCTCTCATTGTCCATGCAGTCCATACCATCCTCATCATCTGTGGGCAGGAAACATCTATTTTAATTTTACACATTCATTTTTTGCAACATTATCTCTAGTCTATGTTTTTTAAACTCTGAACATAGGAAAGATGAACAGAGGCAATAGCTCCCATAAACTTGTGTTCATCAATAAGCTGTAGAGTAATTATACTTCAAAAATCATCTGATTTTCATAAATACATAGTCTATGAAGAAATAATACTATAGAATCATCTCTAAGACATCAAAATTTCAAGACTCAATGAAACAGTGAAAAAAATGGTATTGAAGAAAACAGAAGTTTTTAAGAAGGAGCAGTCTTCAGTAACCTTTCATTTCATGTAACCACATATATCAAAACTGCAAGTCAGTGAAATCCACAGCATCCAAAGTCTGTATAGAATTCATCATCGAATGTCTTCAAGTGCTTATATTTTTTCTTTGTGATGCTTTAAGTGCAACTGCAAAATAAAGCTTCTTATGAAATTTCATTCAACATCTAGCATCTGGCTTAACTCACCTTTCCCAATTTCCCTATGATAAAACTTTAGCATGAAGGGACTAAGTGAAAGAAAAAGAGGGAAGGATGTCAACATCTGAGTCCTAGCTCATCAGGAAACAATGGAAGAGACTTGAAAGGCATCAAAACAGGCCGCTGACAATCACAGTGTTCCTCCTGTCAGCTTTCCTGGTTTCCTGTATTTCAAAGATCACAGATGATCAGCACCCTGTTCTCATAAATGTCCTGTGATGACAGTCCTGTGCTGTTGGAAGCTCTTCCTGGTATGTGGCCACGTGGTCAGCCACTCAGTCAACATGCGCTCCCACGCATCTGCTCTGGGCTGAGCACCCGTCAGGCCCAAGGACCGCAGAACTTTGAACAAAGTCCCAAGGGCCCCCTGGCCTCACAGTCTCCTGGGGGAGGTGCTCCATTTTAAATCCCCCGTGCTTGCCTCTAAGCTTGTTTAATCATATGCTGTCCTGCAATGGAAATCAGTGAATCTTTCCAATACTCAACCCTTTTCTCTTCAAGCAAAATAATTCGATGTCCTCAAACCCATATAGGAAGTACATTACCAATTTTTTTGAATATTCTAACCTCTCCAGGGAGCATCCGCTGGATGTGGGTGTAAACAAAGAAAGCATACAGGCCAGATCCCACTGCACTGAGGCTCTGACTCTGTCACTCCGAAGAGGAGGGGGCTCTGCCTTTGTCTGAAGAATAAACACTTCCATTCTTGTATCACTGTTTTTCTTTTCTGTATCCCACTCTTAATGCAGAAGATTCTAGAAATGGGATCAAGCTGGCATTAGCCAAAATTTCTGACCCCTAATGTACCAGAAGATATCCTCGTATTAGGTGAGAACTGATCCATCAAGAAGCATTTGTGGCTCCCTGCTCTGTGTAAGACACTGAACTCGGAGGCCCTCTCTTCTTCTGCAAATAGACCACTGTAACTGCAGTCAGCATTTCTAGAAGGTATTGAGATTTGGGGAAATCTCTACCTCCTTATAAAGTTATTGGTTCCAATATTTGTACCAAGCAAGTCACACACATCTTTTAGATCAAATACCTTCAGCAGTATTTTTAGCTACAGTAAAAACGGAAGGAGCTGGGAATGATGGTGTACCCGTGGTTGAGCCCCAGAGTATAAAAACTCTCTAGAGAATACGGGCAGCTAAAACCTTAATGTTCAGATTCTGACATGAGCCAATCACATTTCAAATAAACAATTTTCCTCACCAACAGCTTTATTTTACTCAGTGTTTCTGCACAGCAAACCTGCAGCTGGCTCTGGACAGCAGTGGGGAGCCTGGTGCTTGTCCTGCTCAGCCAGGAAGGGCAGGAGCTGCCTGGACTCCTGGGGCCATGGCCAGGACTCATTCCAGCCCGGCGAGGTTCAGCACCCAGGTTAGCCAGATGCTCAACAGGGGCAGGTGCTAGACACCCTTTTGGAAGAGGAGGGACTCTTGCTGGTGTCAGCTAAGAATTGAGAGACAGCCTTCATTCTGTCACTTCAGTAACACATTCATCACAATTCTGAATCTAGGAAATTTCACAGATATCCCTGAGGGCCCCAATCCTTGATATTCTTTAAAGCCAATGATCTCCCTCCATCATTCCTGCCCCTTTCTGTTGTCAGGCTTGGAAACAATGAGGCGTGAACATCTGATCATGGCCCTAAAAGAGCTGAGAGCCTGGGCAGGGGCTGCGGTGGGAGGGGAGCTGGAGGAAGTGGCAGCTGACTCTGAGTCGGAGCCTGTCAATGTACACAAGTTAGTTCCTGCTGTGAGAGGCTGTGCATAGGGAATAGTGATGATAATGAACATGAACTATGTTTTTCAAAAACACTTATCTGGAAAAAGAAGACAATGATCAACTCTACTTGCTACATCCCTTGAATCCCTGCATCCAAGGAACATCAGTTGCCTGATTTTCTTAGAACATTTAACAAATGGCATTATATGGCAGTAAAAGCGACCAGATCTCAAAGAAACCCTCTTTTTCTGTAAGAGGAAGGAGGAGGACCATCAATGGCGATAACGAAAGATGACACATTCCCAAATCTGTTCCATTATTAACGCCAGTGAGGACAATCTGGCATGTCACTGCAGCTGTTTGTAGAAAATGGAACATTTTGCCTTTCTAACTGCTGATTTGTTCTAAACAATAACTGTATTCTGTTTTATACAAGCAAGGTGGCAAGTGGGAAGACAATTGCTAACGAATGGTACTACCCTGGACTTTTATCAACAAAACCTCTGTGTGTTAGCACTTAGGGAGCTGCAACGGTTTCTTACCAGTTAAACTATTCAAAGCTGCAAGAAAAAGGTTATGTTGAATGTAATCACCGTTCAAGGTTTCAGTGATTCTCATTTTATCTGCTCCTTAAGGGAATCTAGGATGTATCCAGGAACTGTCAAACTAAAAATACTGCCCCGTTGCCCTAGAAGAACCCAGAAGCTGCAGTTAACCACCATCAAGGCTGCTCCCCTAAGACAGGAAGCCCAGGGCCCCATGGCCCCCAGTGCTGAGCGCTGCGCTCTGCTGAGCCACACAGACAGCAGGAGAGGCTGCTGAACAGAGGTGCCTGCAGATGCGTCGATGCTAGTCTTTGCCTGGGCATACTCTGCTGAGCTCTTCCGTCTGACTTTCCTTGCTACAGAGGTCCTGAATAGGGAAAAACACAGCAAGTCCATAGCGCCCTCCCCACCCCTCAATTGCGGTGTGCCCTGTCAGAAACAGATGACATTGCTGGGCTCTCGTTTCCGTACTGTCCAGGGCCCAGGAGCAGGGCAGGACCACACCCCATTTCTGACACCCACAAAAGCCAGACTTTTTTTTTTTTTTTTTTTTTTTTTTAAAAGACAGAGTCTTGCTCTGTCACCCAGACTGGAGGGCAATGTTGTGATCTCAGCTCAGTGCAGCTTCTGCCTCCCGGGTTCAAGCGATCCTCCTGCCTCAGCCTCCCGAGTGGCTGGAATCACAGGAATGCACCACCACGTCTGGCTAATTTTTGTATTTTTTTTTGTAGAGAGGGGGTTTCACCATGTTGGCCAGGCTAGTCTCAGACTCCTCCTGACCTCAAGTGATCCACCCGCCTTGGCCTCCCAAAGTGCTGGGATTACAGGTGTGCACCACTGCGCCTAGACAAAAGCCAGACTTTTGTGGTCCTACAATTGCAGGTGGATTTTGATAACCATCTTGAAAGTTACTACAATGTACAGGCTTCCTAGGTATCTCTGTCTCAATCTAGAAGTGAACCTATTATCATTTAAAGACACCAAGGTTGTAGGGCTTTTACAGCATGATCCATGTCTGAAATGACACATGTTATTTAAGAACAGAGGTGCTGTCAGTGGTAAAATATGACATGCCAGGAAAAACATTCTTGATGGCTTTTATATTGCTGATTAATGAAGCCAAGGAACTAGGTTCAAATTATGTTCTAGAAACTGTGCTGGGGGACTTCTAACACCTTCTAACATTTCAGTCTCATTTTAGAAGTCCTAGAGATTGAGCAATAAAATGCACACTAATGACAAATTCTCATCAGGACAAGTGCCCCGCGGGTGTCGAGTAAGGAATAAAGCAGGTAAGATGAATTTCGAAGAGATTCTGGTCCTTGAAAGCTAGGGCTTTGAAATTCAAGTCAATCATGAAAAAATGACTGACTAGCCTAAGAGTCATATACAACAGTTTCTAATTGACCTTATTTGTACCCAAATCCATTTTGATTTGCTCTGGTCTTTCTAGTCTCACATTTCTGAGCATCGCATTAGTCAGCCCTGTCCGCCGGCCCTCCACTACACCACCCCTGCAGCCAGGTGCTTGCTGCGTTGGGCCTATCATCCCCCTAAATGGACTGGCCCACAGCATACAGTAACACTATGGACTAGCCAATCTGGTGCTTGAGCAGAATTGAAAATAGGGTGATTCAAATTGGCAGAACTCTCGGTGCCTCTCCTAAAGAGACGGCTTCTCAGGCACACGGGAGGACAAAAACGCCACTGAGAGACTATCAGCCCTGCTCCCTGCTTTTCCAGGGGACAAAGTGACCGGCCATCGCCCAGAACTGTAAGGGGCACAGGCAGGACACAAGGCAGGTTCCCCAGGTCTGAGTCCTGGGCTTTTTCAGCCTCACTCCATGTCCCAAATTGGGATTTCACTTTTAGCTTTCTTAAGTAAAATATCTACTCCTGGCTTGACATTTTAGAGCCTTCTTATTTCTATGACTTCCAAAATAACATATTTACTTGCTCTAAAGGTACGCAAATGCCAAATGCTCTATTTAAGAATGGAAACTTTCTCAGAGGCTGAGACTGAGGAAAGAGACCTGTCAAGACCTTCCTATCCCAATATCTGCTTTGGATATTCAGAGGGGAGGCAAGCCTGGGTGTCCTCCCGGCTCTGAAGTTCCTAGGCCCTCACCATATTCTGTGTATTCATGCACCTAACAAGTATTATTGAATACGCACACTGTGCCAGGCATCTAACTAGGAGCTTGGGCTAATAACGAATGAGACAAACTAGATCCTTCCTCTCCAACCCACTGCATGTTAGTGGCGGAAATAGACACTAACCAAACAAACAGAAAAATACCAGCAAGTCAAGGTGCCAATGCAGAGAATGAAGAGAGAGAGGGAATGTTGTCAGACTGATGCTCTTCAGACTAGGAGGTCAAAGAAGGTTCTCTGATGGAATGACATGTAAGCTTAGAGCTGAAGGACAAGAAGGAGCCATCCAAGTAAGATCAGGGAAGAAGAGCATTCCAGGCCTGGACACCATAAATACTGTCCCCAGAGCCCGAGGCATGGTGACGTGTGGCATGTTCGAGGTGTGGCTGGAACCCAGGGACAGTGGGGGAAGATGGAACAGGAAGAGGTCAGAGAGGTGGACAGGGCCCAGATCAGTCAGTGCTGTGCAAACCAGTGTGAGCAAGTTTGGATTTAGAGTGCAATGGGATGGCACCGGAAGGTTTTAAGCAGAGGAATGATGTGGTCTGATTACAGTTAGGATTATATCCAAATGAAAGGGCCTAGCAAAGGCTGTATGGCAGGAACTGCCCATGGGCCGATCCGAAAACTCACTGGTGTTACCCAGCATTTTGGACAATTCTAATGCCACAGTCTATGCTGGGGACAGAGGCCAAGGCCTATGCCCATGATTTCTACTCAGCGCTGAGCTACTTGCCCATGACTCCACAGGCTTTCCAACATTGTCTGTGACTCTTAGTGATTCTAAAATTCTAGCAATGGCACAAGATTGAGTGGAAACTCTGCCTCACCACAGGACTGACCATGAGTAGCTCACTTCAATGGATTGGTATTTCACAACTTAGCCTGGACATCGGTCAAGTTGGTAAGCCCTGCTTCTGGCTATGGCTGACCCAACTTCAGGACCTGGAGCACCTTAACTTTTTGTGAATCTAAAGAAAGAAAAGCACACACACGTCATCATATCTTCACTTTCAGGGTGTTCACAATCCCCTTGTGGCCAGACCATGGTCCCAAGATTAAGACCTCTTGGCCCACATGACCCCTTGTTTGCCTCTCGACAGTAGAATCTGCTGCCTGTGACCATCTCTGGCACAGCATTAGCCTCCAATCGCCCCTCTCCCGGACACTGAGTCCACATCAGCACTATGGATAAATCTGCCTCCAAAAAAGGAATGAGAGGAGAAGACATATAGGGAAGGAATCAAAAAGAAAAGGAAAGAAAAACTATGATGTGAACCCAAAGATGTGTAACTTGAAGCATTCTTGCAGCCATCCAAATATTGCCCTGAAACGCAATCTTATCCACATTCTTAAGTTAATGATGATACACACAGACCTCTGTCAGCATGAAAATGTTTATCAATTATGTCTGATCACCTTTTCCCTCATTACAGCTCCACTTATTTATGGTATTTCTCCAAGTGTGAGACATACTAATGTATATGAATTGACTTGAAGTGGTACATGAACACACAGTTTTCATAAATATGTAATTTATAGGTATCCAAAAGTATTAGCAAACTAAATTATGTCTTCACAGATAATACTATTTAAGAGAGAGCTAAGTAAAAAGGAGTGACTCTACATGAATTTTAAAACTATTAAGTAAGTAGGAGACCAAAACTGGCAAAATTCTGAAGGTTATGTGGGAATGAACGAAGTCTAGGAAAGAGGGGAGTCTCTATTTCACAATCCTTTCAGTTGGTGTCAAAACAATCTATTGGTGAACAGTAAGGAAGAGCTAGTCTGTAATTTCATCTACAATTTCTCTCTATATAATTTGTCCTACCCAGAAAAGCATTTCTTGCAGTCTTTTGATATTACCACTGGGAACTCAATATTCTTAAATTCAATTCAATATTCAATATTCTTAAATAGAATGGAGTAAGTCACTGTGGAATTTGATCTTGAAAATATCAGATGAGTTTTTAAAAGACTGTTTTCTTCAATTACATTAGGAGAAATTATATTAGAAATTTATCAATTGCCTTCTAAATTTACTTACATTTTTCAGGTGGTGTTATTGTAATAGTCTGAGCTGTAAATTCTTCATCAAAATATCTAGTATCTGTCTCAGATGTTACTTGAGGTTTAAAAGGAGGTACAAGCTGTAAAAAGAAAGAAAAAGAGTTTTATTAACTGATTTCAATTCAGGAAAATTCCTTTCTAGGAAAAAAGCAGAGAGCACGTAGTTAAATGAACAGAACAAAAGTCTACAATGCTGAGTCGCTGGGTAAGGGAGACATGATATTTGGCTTCCCAGTCAACAGTCTAAACCAACCGGTGGGTAATTGGTGGTTCTGTATAAAATCTAATGGATCACGAAAAACAACAAAAGAAAACCATTGAATAGGACGGGAGAGGGATATTGAAAAATCTGTGCTGGTTTTTTTCCCCAATAACAAACATACATGCAAAACCATATTGATGGGGAGCAGTGTGCCAGGATGTGGGCTCTTCCTCGGGCAACCTCTTTCTAGTGCTAGCTGAAGAGGGTAGTAATAAAAATACAACTTAATAATACAGCTATCACCAGGTTACAGATGAGAGTGCTGCCTTTGCCCTTCGTAAAGAACTACAACTTTGTACTTTGCTAAGAATTTGCTGATAAGAGATGGGCATTGATGCCTGCCCTGCTCTGGAAAAGGGTTTCCTGGTAGCCCCTGACGTTACATGCAAAATCTTGCCCACAGCTTTCATCAGATCCTCAAAGGGGACCACAGCCCAGAAGAGATTAAGAGTAGCTCCCCTGAGATTGACAGGGCAGGAATCATCTCATTCGCACTGCACCTGCGGCAGGCATGGCGTTAGGGAAGGTGGGGGTGGAAGGAAAGTCTCGGGCTACTGGAGGTTTCAGGAGCCGGAGCCCTGTGAACCTCCACTGGTTGGGAGGGAGAAGGAGCTAACACGAGGCTCCTGCTTCTCAGGGCTCTAGCCTTGAGGGACAGGTGGAACCCACAGGTTCCTTCTAGCACAGGATGCCCAGTCCCAGAGCATTAGGGTCAGAGTGCGTGCTCTGCAGAGTATCATTCAGAACAGGGGATGCTGCTTTAGAATACAGTTCTCACGGGGATAGGAACATGGCAAACAGAATGACAGAAATCAGCATGTTTTATAAAAATTTTACAAAAACAAATACACAATTGGCTTGAGATCAGTGCATTTTCCCACTCTTTCTGTCACCAAATGTATGTTAAATAATAAGGAAAATCTTTAAATTATTCTCTAGACAGAACTATATTTTTAAGAATCGTGGGATGAGCAGAATTAAAAGCAGGTTTTCAAAATAAGGGACATTTCAGTTTATGGTACATGCTACAAAGCATTCTTAATCTCTTCTTTTTATAATTCTTTCTGTTTACCCCCAGCACACAGCTATTCTAAGGTCTTCATGATTAGCAAGCACTCCTTTGGGGATGAACCAACTCTACGTTCCACTGATCAGCTGGTAATGGCGACTAATCCCTAAACTGAAACAAACTCCTCCACCAGTGGCAAGGAGAAGCCTGCCATTGTGCCAGACCATATTTCTTTCTAGCTGCCCTGCTGGATCCCCTGGACATGAGCAAGCAGGTCACTCCACTGCTAGAAACCCTCCCTCTGACTCTCAGGCTAAATTCTCCACACCAGCCTCACATATCACATGCACACGCACAGGGAACCCCAGAGGTGACAGAGGCTGGAACAATTTTGTTTTTTTTATTTTTTTTAGAAAACCAAGGGGGTAATTGCCCCTATCTGGCAGAAAACGGGAAGACTGGAATTCTGGTTGGGTTTTTCTGATTTACTATTCTACAGATGTTCACAAAATAGGTCTTTATCTTTCCAATCAGAAGTTAACCACAAGAAATTCCTGTGGCTGGAATCGGCTTCTCTTGGGCACTAGGAGTAGGTTTGCTCACCTCTGCCCCATCCTTTTCATCTGGTTCTTTGTGATGTCAAAAATTTAAATTTGCCTTCAAGTTAGGGGAAACTTGTCCTTTTAGATGAGAGAATGATGACCTGTAACTTTAACAAACTGAAACCTATCTTAACACAGTTTTCAAAAGATTATAGGGGAGCTTAAAATAGTCTCTGTTTCAAATGCCACGTGTACTGAGGACTTTCCTGACCGCCTTCTTACATTAAACAGCTATCCTCCCCCTCACTTTCTATCTTCACATTGCTTTTTCTTCAAGACTTTGCGACATCTGATACACAGGCACGTATACATGCACACATATGATATACATGTATTTGTTACTGTCAATGTTCATCACCAATAAAATATAAGTTCCACGAGGGCAAGGACTTTAAAAAAAAGTTTATTGATGCGTAATTAACATACACTAAACAGCACACATTAAGAATATACAACTTGGGCTGGGTGTGGCAGCGGGCGCCTGTAGTCCCAGCTACTTGGGAGGCTGACGTGGAAGGATCACTTCAGCCCAGAAGGCAGAGGTTGCTGTGAGCCAAGATTATGCTATTGCATTCCAACCCGGCCGGGGCGAACGAGTAAAACCCTCTCAAAAAAACAAACAAAAAACATGCAACTGATACGTTTTGACATATGTATATACCCATGAAACTGTCACCAAAATCAAGATGATGAAAACATCTACCACTTCAAATGTCTTCTTGTGCCCATGTGTACTTCCATCCTCCCATCCCCTGCAGGCCATGACTGACATACTTTCTGCCATGACTGATTTGCTTGTATTTTAAAGAATTTTATGCAAATGGATCATAGAGTATGTACTCTTTATCTGGCTTGTTCATTTAGCATTATTACTTTGATATTCATCCATGTCACCACATGTATCAATAGTTTACTCACTTTGCTGGGTAATATTTCAGTACATAGATGTATCACAATGGACACACTCATCTGTCAATGAACACAGGGCCTGCTCCCAGTTTGGGGCAATTACAAACAAAATTGCTATTAACTTTTATGTCCACGTCTTTGTGTAGACATATGATTTAATTTATTTAGGACAAATACTAAGGAGTGGAATGGCTGGGCCGTATGGTAGGTATACATTTGACTTTTCCAGAAACTGTCAAATTGTTTTCCTTTACCATGTTAAAAAAAAAAAAAACCCAATTCCTAATTCACTCAGAGCGTTTCATTTTTTGTTTAAATAAGTTTTAAAAAGGATGGATTTTTCTTAGTTTTTTCTTTGCATCATTTGATATAATCATTTCCTTCGTACTCTGTTAATAGGTGAACTATAGTGATTGGTTTTGAATGTTAAATCAATCTTATATTCCTAGAACAGACCACACTGGTAGTGATTCTTTGTATCTATTGTTAGATTTGATTTGCTAAAATTAAATTAAACATTTTAGCATATATATTCATTAAGAATATTGGTCTATAGCATTCTTTTAAAAATCTCTTTGCGGGCCAGGTGTGGTGGCTCATGCCTGTAATCCCAGCACTTTGGGAGGCCGAGGCAGGCAGATCACCAGGTCAGGAGATCAAGACCATCCTGGCTAACATGGGAAACCCCCGTCTCTACTAAAAATACCAAAAATTAGCCGGCTGTGGTGGCAGGTGCCTGTAGTCCCAGCTACTCGGGAGAATGGCATGAACCCGGGAGGCGGAGCTTGCCATGAGCTGAGATCGCGTCACTGCACTCCAGCCTGGGCGACGGAGCAAGACTCCATCTCAAAAAAAAAAAAAAATCTCTTGCATATTGATATCAAGTTAATACCTGCCTCACAGAATGAACTGAGAAATGTTCTCTCATCTTCAATTTTCTGGAATAATTTGTATAGAACTGATAATATTCCTTAAATGTTTGGTAGACTTCGTTGGTGAAAATATGTGGGTCTGGTGTCTTTGTCAGAAGGATCTTAACCACAACTATAATTTCTTTAGCAGGTACAAGGCTATTCATGACATCTATTTCTTCTTGGTAATTTGTATCTTTCAACATATGTGTCCATTTCAGCTAAATAGTTGAATTTATTGGCATAAAGTTATACATAATGCTTCCATATTATCCACTTAATACCAATAGAATCTGTAGCAGTGTCAACATTTATTATTTGTCTTCTCACTTTTCTTTTCAGTCAGGTGAGAAATACATCAATTTTAATGATCTTCTCAAAAGCCCAGTTTTCCTTTCATCAATTTTCTCTATGATTTTTTGTTTTCTATTTCATTGATTGCTATCCCAATCTTTATTTCCTTTGTTCTGCTTACACTGTGTTTAACTTGTTCTTATTTTTCTAATTCCTTTTTCTTTTTCTTGTTTTTTAGAGACAAAATCTGGCTCTGTCACCCAGGCTAGAGTGCAGGGATGTGATCATAGTTCACTGAAGCCTCAAAACTCCTGGCCTCGAGCAATCCTCCTGCCTCAGCCTCCTGAAGCAATCCTCCTGCCTCAGCCTCCTTGAGCAATCCTCCTGCCTCAGCCTCCTGAGCAGCTATGACCACAGGTGCACACCAGTATGCCCAGCTAATATTTTGTTATTTAGAGATGGGATCTCACTATGTTGTGCAGACTAGTCTCGAACTCCTCTACCTTGGCCTTCAAAAGTACTGAGATTATAGTTGTGAGCTACTGTGCCCAGTCCTAGTTTCTTAAGATAGAAGCTAAGGTCATTAATTTTACACTTTTCTTCTTTTCTAATGTTTAAAAATATCTTTTAGTACTATAAATTGTATTTAGTACTATAAATTTAAGTATTGCTTTAGCTGTATATCACAGCTAAACACATTGTGTTTTCGTTTTCAGTCCATTCAAAATACTTTCTCATTTCCCTTTGATTTCTTCTTTGATCCATGGATTAATATTTAGTTTCCAAGAACTTGGGGATTTTCCATAGATCTGTGTTTTTTTAATTTCATTTCCTTCAAAGAGAAAATGTTTTACAGTACTTAAATCCTTTAAAATTCATGGAGTTGTTTTGCTCAACATATGGTACACTGTGATAAATGATCTGTGACCTTGAGAAAAATAAGTGTTCTTATGCTGTTGGGTAGCGTGTTCCATAAATGTCAGTTAGATCAAGCTGACTGATAGTATTGCCCAAGTTGCTATATAACCTTACCAATTTCTCTCCAATTGCTGTATCAATTATTTGAAGATGGATATTGAACTGTCCAATAGTAACTGTAAATGTGTCTATTTTTCCTTATATTAGTTTTTGCTTCAAATATTTTGTTTTGTTATTAGATGCATAACTAAGACGGTTAATACTTCTTGATGAAATGACTCCCTTAATTATTATGAAATGTTCCTCCTTATCTCCAGCAATATTACTTGCTTTGAAATCTACTTCATATGATTTAATATAGCACTCTAGTTTTCTTCTGATTAGGTTGAGCATAGTATATAATTTTCTGTTCTATTAATTTTAATCTACTTATATCTTACATTTAAAGTTGGTTTCTTATAAGCAGCATATAGGTAGTTCTTGCTTTTTACCAAGTCTAATCTCTGTCTTTCAATTGTGGTGTTTAGAACATTTACATTTAATGTGATTATTGATACGAGTAAGATTAAATTTACCATCTTGCTATTTGTTTCCCACTTGTCTCCTCTGGAACTTTGTGTTGCACTAATGTGATATTCCCAACTCCTAAAACAGTCCTTGCCACATAGTAGCATTCAACAATATTTGCGGAATAAATGAATCAATCATTCAGTCTTGCAGCTGAGTAAGACGTCAGTGAGCATGTAGTGTACCTTTTTAGAGATCAGGAAATTAAAGCTGACACTGGTTAAATGGCTTGCCAAAAATTATACGAATAAGAACTGGAGCGGCAAAAACCTAGGTTTCTTGATCTCAAGGTCTTTTTACTGTAGCATTTACAATGTGAAGGCTTTGAATGAAAACTACTTTTGCTTTTGATTGTTTCTCTATACATTAGTCAAGATATTCATTCTAGGAAGCATTATTCCCCCTTCCACTTCCCCTGTCCCTGAAGGTGAAGACAACTCAGTGGAATATAAACATTTGTAGGGAAGCAAAGACCCTACATTATGTATATGGGGAACATTGTCGGGTAGGGCTTGTAAAAAATTGCCTCAGTATGGCTGGGTGCAGTGGCTCATGCCTGTAATCCCAGCACTTTGGGAGTCTGAGGCAGGCAGATCAGGAGTTTGAGACCAGACTGGCCAACATGGTGAAACCCCATCTCTACTAAAAATACAAAATTTAGTTGGGTGTAGTGGCACATGCCTGTAGTCCCAGCTACTTGGGAGGCTGAGGCAGAAGAATCACTTGAACCTGGGAGGTGGAGGTTGCAGTGAGCCGAGATCATGCCATTGCACTCCAGCCTGGGTGACAGAGCAAGACCTCGTCAAACAACAAAAAAAAACTGCCACAGTACTTGAACAGAAGCAGTCCCACAAAAATCATCAGAATGCCCCAACTTCAGATTTCATTACAAATTTCTAGAATATATAATATTCTTGAGTAGTCTTCATAAACTTTATGGAAAATGTGTATTATGAAAAAACCATGCACAGATTTCAAAAAATTTCTGCACCAAAATTAACTCATACTGATTTGTTATAACATGACTGTACAGGATCAAGTTTGAGGGACTAAGAAGGATAAGACATCAGTTTGGACAGAGCCCCTGTAAGAGCAACATGAATTCTAAAATTGAAGCAAGAACAAACATGAAATTCATGGTGAAGCTTGGGTGGAAGAATGATTAAATCACTGATGCTTTATGAAAAGTTATGGGAAGTATGCCCCAAATAAATCAGCAGTCTAAAAATGGATAACTTATTTTAAGAAGGGATGAGACAATGTGGAAGACGAAGCCAGCAGCGACAGACCATCCACATCAATTTGCAAGGGAAAAAATTAATCTTGTTTGTGCCCTAATTCAAAAGGACCAATGATTAACAGCAGAAACAACAGCCAACACCATAGACATCTCATCTGGTTCAGCTTACAGAATTCTGACTGAAAAATTTAAGTTGAGCAAACTTTCCACTTGATGGGTGCCAAAACCATTGCACCCAGATCGGCTGCAGACAAGAGCAGAACTTTCAATGGAAATTTTAAACAAGTGGAATAAAGATCCTGAAGCATTTCTTTGAAGAATTGTAACAGGAGATGAAACATGGTTCTATTAGTATAATCCTGAAGATAAAGCAATGGGTATGAAGAAGTGGAAATGGTCCAGTCAAAGCAATATTGGACAGGTCAAGGGCAAAGGTCATGGCAACAGTTTTTTGGGTGCTCAAGGCATTTTGCTTATTGACTTTCTGGAGGGCAGGAGAATGATAACACCTGATTATAAGCACTTGGAGAAAGTTGGCCAAAGCTTTGGCAGAAAAACTTCTGGGAAAGCTTCACCAGAGAGTCCTCCTCCACCAAGATAATGCTCCTGCTAAATCCCTCTCATTAAACAGGGGTATTTCATGAGAGCTTTCATGAGAAATCATTAGGCATCCACCTTACAGTCCTGATTTGGCTCCTTCTGACTTATTTTTCCCCTAAACTTAAAAAAGCTTTTAAAGAGTATTAGTTTTTCTTCACTTAATAATGTAAAAAAAAGACTGCACTGATATAGGTAAATTACCAGGATGTTCAGCTCTTTAGGGATGAACTAACTAGCTGGTATCATGGCTTACAAAAGTGTCTTGAACTTGACGGAGCTTATGTTGAGAAATAAAGTTTATATTTTCTGTTTTTATCTTTTAATACCATTTTCCATGAACTTTTTGAAGTCCCCTCATATTTACTTTAAACAACAGCTGAACAAATTTCAAATATTGTATTATTATAGGTTGAAATGTGTCCCTCCAAAATTAGTATGTTTAAACCCTAACCCCAAGTACCTCAGAATGTGACTCTATTTGGAGATAAGGTCTTTAAAAAAGTAACTGCATTAAAATGAGATATCAGGATATGTCTTAACTCAGTCTGGTATCTTTACAAGAAGAGGAAATTTGGACACCCAAGTAGACACACTAAGGAAAAACCATATGAAGACACAGGGAAAAGACGGCCATCTGCAAGCCACGGACAGACACCTCAGAAGAAACTAACCCTGCCTGCACCTTGATCTTGGACTTTCGCCAGAAATATGAGAAAATGAATTTCTGTTGTTTAAACCACCCAGTCTGTGGTATTTTGTTACAGCAGCCCTAGCACATAAATACATTAATTTCCTATTTCAGCTTTAAACCAGTATCTTCATCTCTTCTTTTCCTCTAACCACATCTCTCAAAACATTTCTGTCAACTGACTGAATGTAAATTCCCATTTAGAAAAGATAGTCATATATATTTCTGTAAATCTCAGCTACTTTTATGGATCAACTCAATGAACAGCTATAGTGTCATTAACTGCAAACAACATATTTTTCTGACAAATGCACTAAACTTGAAACAAATCTTTATTTGAAAACCAATTTGCTTTCAGAAAATGTAGTATTCAGTGATCTTAAACAAGAGGATAAAGTTTCTGGGTTCAAGACATCAATTTCATCTCACTGAAAATATGCAACTTCAAGTCCGTATGGTGACAGCAACGTTGAAGCTCCCTAAATTCTTTCCACACTGATCTTTTATCAAATTTTAAATGCTATGAAATCACTCTACCATTTACTATCTTCCTAAAAGTGTCAATGAAAGAACAAAGAGATAATTTTCTGAAGGTTGTTAGAGTAAGTCACATTTGGTATTTCTGGTATGGCTGGAATGATTCCATGAGTGTATGCATGAACACCAAGGTCTCTGAAGGTAAGAGATTCCACAGACCTTTTTTAGTAACAAGTCACGTGCTACTATCAGATATCTATATTCTTTCTTCTATTGTTCCTTCCAGGGGCTTAAGAAATAGACTGGAGAACTTGAAACTTTCTGGGACAGCTGATGTGGACAGTGATTGTGGTATCTTAATTGCCTTAACAACTGTGGTTATTTCCACCACTTTGTGTTGGCATATAGGGTCCAAAATCCAGTGAACATAGATGTTTGCAGTAAAGAATTGCCAACACTATTGCATGTTTAGATTTCCCAGAGACAGTAATCTGGTGCTATAATTTTCACTTCTCTGAAACAACATGAGAAAGTAGTCAATCATAGGTGGAGATTCTGGTTTATTTAATCTCTACTAAATACTGGCTTCACGCTTTGTGTATATGTAGGTGTGCATGTACTGGAAAAGCAGGAGTATAAAAGAGGATTTATTTCTAACAAAACTAATGGGTATGTGGCATACATTATTTAGTTACTTTGTATGCTAAGCTGTGCCATACCAATGAATTCTTCTTGACATAAAACTAGAAACTAAAATAATTATATTTCATTTTTACAAAACTACACAGTAATAATTGAAGTTCATGCTGTTAATCTTGTGCCTACATAAAATGTACCAAGGGGCCCAAGGTATATAACAAATTAATATACCACTATTGTATCGTAATATTAGACCTGCCAAAATGAGTACTTTAACTATAAAAGACATTAAATGTTTAATTAATACATCTGCTTTCCTTGTTGGAATTCTGAGGGGTTTGTTAACACATGATATGGATGATTTGCATTACTTTAAAAAGTAATCCCCAGAAACTGGAACTTGTATTTTCTTTTCTGTGATAAATTTTCTCATTCAAAAATAACTTCATAAGCACTCATCCTATTGACTGTAGGTTTATGCCCAGGTGATGTTATTCACAAACATCCATAGATACGATACATTATTTGAAGATCTCAGTTATACCTGGAGAGGATTCACCTATAAATTACAACAAAAGGGCTCTCATTAGTGAAACACTGGGAGCCTTTTTAAAAGGCATGAGAGGGTAACAAAAAGATTTTGCACCTAGTAGTGTTAAAGGACAAGTTGCATTTATTATAACTATCAGAACTTCACTAAGAGCCTAGTGAAACAATCTACTTTCTCCCTTCTTCAGCTGATTTTATAGGCTCTGTCCAACATCAGCAGTGTGGCAGCCATTAATCACTATTTCTCTTAGAAATATTCAAGAACATGAGCAAAAGTTGAATAAGTATGCAGACTGGGGAGAAATGACATAAAGGCAATTTCCAACTTACAAGCTAATTTTGTTATAAAAGCCTATATATGTAAGGCTGGGCACAGTGGCTCACGCCTATAATTCCAACAATGTAGGAGGCCAAGTTGGGCAGATCACTTGAGGCCAGGAGTTCAAGACTAGCCTGAGTAACATAGAGAGACTCCATCTCTACAAAAAAATTTAAAAATTACCCAGGTATGGTAGCATGTGCCTGTGATCCCAGCTACTTGAGAGGCTGAGGTGGAAGGTTGAGGGTGAAGTGAGCTGTGATTGCGCCACTGCACTCCCCTGGGTGACAGAGAGAGACCCTGGCTCAAAAATTTAAAAAAGAAAAGAAAAGAAAAATGCAGCCTACATATAAACTGGAAAAAACTTGGGACCTGTTTCAATAGATACACACACATACACAGAAAGGCTATATAATGTAGGTAGGTTACTAGGCAGTAACATTAAGGTCTATTAAACCAGAAATAAATAAAAAATATAACATTAAAGCTTCTAACAAGTATCTATTATTTTTATAGAGAAATTCCTATTATATTTCTGTAAAGATGACGTGACCAAGACCCTCTCTCTCTCTCTGTCCAGGTTCTAGCACTGACAGCCACAGCCACTCTCTTAATACCACACCAGATGAATGCTGGAGAGACCCAGTGATAGGGAACATTTGGGTTGGGGGATGAACTTGTGGTGAGAAGGAAAGATAGGGGCTTTAAAAGCTGAGGAGGAAGAGGTAGAAGGTCAATTTGAGGCATAGGGGCAGGCAGCAATTTCTATGTTCTGCAAGGAAGCTATTGGAGAAAAGAACCTGTATTTATCCAGAGCTACTATGCCCAGGTGCTGTACTAATTAAGTGAATGCAGGAAACCAACTGGAATTTTATGAAGGACACAGAAGATGCAAGCTATGTTTTGAAGCTCTGGCTCCAAAAAGGACGAACACACACACACACACACACACACACACACACACACACACACACACACCTTTCAGAAACCAATTGGATATCCAAGGCTCCCCTTGCAGGTTTGTACTGGGCAGCTAAACATCAGAACAGGAACAGGCAAAGAAATCACAAGTAGTACTTCCTGTTAGCCTGGTAAACTCTCAAACAGGACTTTAAATGATCTGAAATACTCTATTCCCTAAAAAGAAAAAAGAAGTATGTTTTTTGAGCATCTCTTCAATGTGTCTTTAAACTGACAAAATATTCACATTGAAAATAATCTTATAGATCTAGTCCAATCCCCTCATTTTAAGATGAAGAAAACACTGAGCCCCTAAATATTCATACTAAAGTCATACTAAAGCATCACAATATCAACCACCACCCAATTAATTTTAATCCAATCCTAACTGCAGCTTCTATAACAGGTCCTTTACTCTTAAAATCTGGGTCAGGCAACCTCTGAAATACTTCTACCACCTCTGAAACACAACCCGCATCACATGAAAATGTAAATCGCCTGCTTATTTATCTGTCTCTTCTACTAAACTGTAAGCAACCGTTTGAAGACAGGGACTTTATCTTAGCTATCTCTGCAAGGCTAGCTGTTGGCACAATACTTACCATAAACTACAGTCATGTGTCACTTAATGACAGGGGTCTCTTCTGAGAAATGCATGTTAGTTGATTGTGTCATTGTCAAACATCATGGAGAGTACTTACATACAAGCCTAGATGGTGTAACCTACAACACACCTAGGCCATATGGGATGGCCTACTGCCCTAGGCTACAGCCCTGTACACGTTACAGTGCTGAATACGGTAGGCAACTGCAACACAATGGTAAGTATTTGTGTATCTAAATGTAGAAAAAGTACAGTAGAAATACGCTATTATAATCTTATGGAACCACTGTGGTATATGCGGTGTGTTGACTGAAGCATCATTATGTTGTGCATGACTTACAGAAAAGCACTAAATATTTGGTGAGTAAAGACAAGAAAATATTCACAGGAGGTTCTTTGGTGTTTTGGCCACTGGTGCCAAACACCAAGCACCAGCCTCTGCTGACTCCTGAACCATACATACCAGGCACCAGCCTCTGCTGACTCCTGAACCATGCATGCACAGGGAAGCCTCCAAGCTCCCTAGTGAAGTCTAAAAGGCATTGTCAAAAGGTAATGAAATTACACGTTCTCTAAAAAGAGGTCTGAATTTGTTACTGAGAATTGGGACAAAAGAGAAGGGGAACAGCCATGAATTATGTTTTGGCTGCACTGAACTAACCATAACATTCACTGGTAATTCACACTGTTTAAATAAGCTCTCTCACACAAGCTCTTTAGAAGGTTGCACAAACGTGAATCTGTGAGATACTTCCTTGCATGAATACAAAACACTGCTGTGCCACATGAAGAAAAGGTGTACATCTGGCATGCAATAATGCATAATTAAGAACAAATACTCAGTTTCACTTACAATCATGGTCAAGCAGCTCCGATTGGATTAACCCTCCTCCATATAACTGTAACCTCAGGAGAAAGACATGAAAACAATCTAAAGGTTCTGGGAAGCAACTAAAAACAGGCAGGTACTAAAGAGGAGGTGGGCACTAGGAATAAGGAATGGCACCAAATGAATTTCTCATTTTTACGGCTTTTTGCCTGAAGGTGGGCCCCAGCTTATGCCATTTAGGGTAAAAATCTTAAATTAGAAACCCACAGTTCTACTGCCATGAACAATCAGAGGACAGAGCTTGAACAAGTACAGCAGCTTTTAAGTGAAGGAGGTGAAATTCCAGAAAAGAGGCAGCCAAAGAGAAGAAGCCCTAAAATCTCAGTATAAAGTCTGCCCAGATCTCTGACTCTTGAACCACACATGCACAGGGCAGGCTCCAAGCCTCCTAGTGAAGTCTAAATAAACCAGCCTGGAATCTTAACCCACTGGAAAAAAGAAAGCGTTTGCAGTTTGAGTTCATCCATGATGACTGGCCTAAGAAAATAAAAAATTCAGTATTCTTTGCTGCAACCTAACCGAATTCAGAGGCACAAAATACCAGTCACAATGCCCAGGATATATTCCAAAATGACTCAGCATTAAAAAAACAAAGGAAACAGAACCCATACACTAGAAAAAGACATCAAAGGAAACTGATGCTCTGATGATCTCATGTTGAAATTAGTAGACAAAGACTTTAAAGCAACTTTATAATTATCTTCAATGACGTAAAGTAAAATATGTTCATGAGTAAAAAAGTTGAAAATCTCAGCAGAGACACAGAAACTATTAGGAAAAGGACCAAATGGAAAAACCTAAAATAAAAAAAAATAAAATATCTGAAATAAGAAATTCTCTCTATGGGCTTGGAGCACATTGGAGATTATGTAAGAGTCAGTAAACTTGATATACCAGCAGAGATTATTATCCAATTTGAATAGCACAGGAAAACAATGTGAAAAAACAAGCAGAACTTCATACCTGTTGGACAACTTCCAAAAGTAAGAAAGAAAGAAAGAAAGAAAGAAAGAAAGAAAGAGAGAGGGAGAGGGAGGGAGGGAGGGAGGGAGGGGGAGGAGGAGAGATAGATAATAAGACAGAAAATATATTTCAAGAAATAATGGCTAAAAGTTTTCCAAAGTTAAAGAAGGATATGCAAGAGATTCAAAAAGCTCAGGCAACTCCAAGCAGAATAAATAGAAAACCTCACCTAAACACATTATAGTCAAAAGGCTTAAAACCAGAGTCTGTCACGGTTCCATGAGAGAAGCAGAACTACTCTGTGTGTGTGTAAAGAGATTACAGGTAACTGAATTTCCCTGATTGTGGGAGCTAGTTATGTTGTCTCTGTAAGGCTGTTGTCTCCAAGTTCACTGCTGAGGCTTCATGTCCATAGGACAGTAAGTTGAGAAGCGAAGATGCAAGCAAAGCCAGGAGAGGAAAGATGAAATGGAATCTAGAAGCACAAGCTGGAGCCCAGGAGGATAGACTGAAACCCGTGTTAATTCGTACCGCCTGACCTTGCTGGTGTGGATATCCTGCAAAAGCTGGGACTTTCATCATGGAGCTAAACACACACTCCAGCCCAGAAGTAGGCTCAAGGGCTAACAGGATGCAGGAGGAGGTGGAGCTGATGCAGGCCTGACCACTGCCACGTACCAATAAGATGGTCTAGCAGACAACATGAATGAGCTACAAAATGGCTGTTCCGTCACGTCTATCCTCCAAATCTCCCACGAGAATCTTAAATAGCAAAAGGAATCCTGGGAAAGGTGGCTCAGTCTAGTCAACTGACATATTACAAAGCCATCACACAAACAAAAATATCTTGAAAACAGCCAGTGAAATATACCACATGACTTGCAAGGAAGAAATATTTAAATATGTACTCACTAAACTATCAACCCACAATTTTATATTCAGTAAAAATATCCTTTAAGAATGAAGGCAAAATAAAGACATCATCCCATAAAAGAAAACAAATTTTTTGCCAGCTGCACTACAAAAAATGGTTAAAAAAAAAAAAAAAAAAAAAAAAAAAAAAAAAAAATTTAGACTGAACAGGAATTATTCCAGACGAAAACATGGATCTTTAAGAAAAAAAAATGAAGAAATGAAAGTGTTCTCAAATTAGACAGCGGTGATGGTTGCATAAGTCTGTCAAGACCCTAAAAACCATGGAAGTGTATACTTTAAAGGGTGAATTATCTCAATAAAAAATTAACAAAAGAATAACACTGGAAACAGCAAATACGTAAGAAAATAATAAATACTAAGAGTCCTAACTTAGAATCTGGGACAGATATGAAGATTAATCTTCAAACAGAAACACAGATGTTTAATGAATAAACCGAAACACTTAAAATTAATATAGTAAGGTCTGGAAGATTCACTTAGGCCCTTTCAGAGGAGACATTATTTCATTGAGGCCTCTCTGTGCCTTGCACATGATAGATAAAAATATTACTTATGTAATCAGTTGCCATCCTATTGAAATGAGTATCAACCAAGTGACCAAAATAAACTATAAAGTACCTAAATTACTCTCTAGAGGCAAGATTTTTTCTTCTTTTCTGAAGGAAATCTCTGAAAGATAAGTAGGAATGCAATAAGTATTAAGATCCATTTCAAAATAATCCAAACATTCTAAATCAATCTTCCTAGAATACCTCTTAAATCTTTTCTAAGTTGTGCTTTATATAATACTTATATAATTATGTTTTATAATCATTATAATTTTTTCTTTCGAGGAACAAGGCTTTAGCAGTCAGCATAAAATTGGGCTTTGGGATTTTCAACCTCAGCTGGGCCCTCCAGCAATCGGTACCTCTTTATAGGTCCCTACTTGGGTTTCTCTCTAGCTCCCTCTGAGCCTATCCCTACATGTGACAGTCACTGTCTTAAAACTTCTAATATCAACCATAAAACATTCTTCTCACTCTTAATAAGAAGGCAGAACTTCTGCCATAAAGATGGTGGGACTTATACCTGTAGGCCCAGCTATTCGGGAGGATCCCTTAAGGCCAGGAATTCGAGGCTGCAGCGAGCTGTGATCGTGCCACTGCACTCCAACCTGGGCATTACAGCAAGACTCCATCTCTTAAAACACACACACACACACACACACACACACACACACACACACACACACACACACACACACACACACACAGAGAGAGAGAGAGAGAGAGAGAATTTGAGGCCTTCAGTCAGAAACTACCATAACTTTCTGCCTAAATACCATAACTTTCTGCCTAAATGCTTATAAACACATCTGCTCTGGTGGGCGTCTTACTTCTTTCCAATTGATGTCACTACAAGGGTATCCCACCTCCTTTCTATAGGTTAGCTATGCTTCAGAGATCTTACATTTTTTTCTGTATTTACTCACTTTACATCTTACTATCTGTATGTTTTTATCTTAAATATTACTTGTTTCTATGTAGCTCCAATTTCACACTCCCTTTTGGATCATTCCTGAGTGTATGAAATAAATATCACCCATTCTACATGCTCCCTTTAGCTACTGCTCCTTTCTTAACTCTTCAATTTTCTCTATTTTTTAAATTTTAGGTTGAGTGGCACACACGTAGGTTTGTTATATAGGAAAACTGCATATCATGGGGGGGTTTGGTGTACATGTCATTCCATCACCCAGATAATAAGCACAGTACCTGGTAGGTCGTTTTTTGATCTTCACCTTCCTCCTGCCCTCCACCCTCAAGTAGGCCTTGGTGTCTGCTCTTCCTCTCTTTGTGTTGATACGTACTCAATGTTTAGCTCCCACTTGTAAGTGAGAATATGCGGGATTTTGTTTTCTGTTCCTGTGTTAGTTTGCTTAGGCTTATGGCCTCCAGCTCCATCCATTTTGCTGCAAAGGACATGATCTTGTTCTTTTTGATGACTGCATAGTATTCCATGGTGTATCTGTACTACATTCTTTATCCAATCTGTAATTGATGGGCATTTAGGTTGATCCCATGTCTTTGCTATTATGAACAGTGTTGTAATGAACATATGTGTGCATGTGTCTTTATGGCAGAAGAATTTACATTCCAATAATGGGACTGCTGAGTCAAATGGTAATTCTGCTTTGAGTTGAGATATTGCCAAACTGCTTTCCACAGTGGATGAGCTAATTTGCATTTGCACCAGCAGTGTATAAGTGTTCCCATTTCTCACAATCTTGCTAGCATCTGTTATTTTTTGACTTTGTAATGAGGGCCATTCTGACTGGTGTGAGATGGTATCTCACAGTGGTTTTAATTTACATTTCTCTAATGATTAGTGATGTTAGGCATTTTTTCATATGCCTGTTGGCCACATGTATGTCTTCTTTTGGGAAGTGTCTGTCCATGTCCCTTGCCCACTTTGTAATGGAGCTTTTTTTTTTTTTTTTGTAAATTTGTTTAAATTCCTTATAGATTCTGAATATTAGACCTTTGTCAGATGCATAGTTTGCAAATATTTTCTCCCATTCTGCAGAGGTCTGTTTACTCTGCTGATAGTCTCTTTTGCTGTGCAGAAGCTCTTTAATTAGGTCAAGTTTTGTTTTTGTTGCAATGGCTTTTGGAGTCTTTGTCATGAAGTCTTTGCCAAGGTCTATGTCCAGAATGGTATTTCCTAGGTTATCTTATATGGCATTTTTTATAATTTTAGGTTTTACATTTAAGTCTTTAATCTATCTCGAGTTGATTTTTGTATATGGTGTAAGAAAGGGGTCCAGTTTCCACCTTCTCTGCATATGGCTAGCCAGTTATCGCAATATCATTTATTGAAGAGGGAGTCCTTTCCCTATTGCTTCTTACTGTTGACTTTGTCAGAGATCAGATGTCTGTAACTGTGTGACATTTCTGGGCTATTTATTCTGTCCCATTGGTCTATGTGTCTGTTTTTGTACCATTACCATGCTGTTTTGGTTACTATAGCCTGCAGTATAGTTCAAAGTTGCGTAATGTAATGTCTCTGGCTTTGTTCTTTTTGCTTAGTATTGCCTTGGCTATTCGGGTTCTTTTTCGGGTCCACATGGATTTAAAAATAGTTTGGTTTTTTTTTCTAATTTTGTGAAGACTGTCCTTGGTAGTTTGAATAAGAATAGCACTGAATCTGTAAACTGCTGTGGGCAGTATGGCCATTTCAACAATATTGATTCTTCCCAACCATGAGCATGGAATGTTTTTCCATTTGTTTGTGTCATCTCTGATTTCTCTGACCAGTGTTATGTAGTTCTCATTGTAAAGATCTTTCACTTCCCTGGTTAGCTGTATTCCTAGGTATTTTATTCTTTTTGTGGCTATTGTGAATAGGATTGCATTCTTGATTTTGCTCTCAGCTTAGATGTTGTTGTTGCATAGGAATCCTGATTTTTGTACATTGATTTTGTATCCTGAGATATTGCTTATGTTAATTTGTCAATTTTTGTTAGGTTGTTTATTGGATTGTAGAGCTTTTGGGCAGAGAAAATCGGGTTGTTTAGGTATATAGAACCATACTGTCTGCAAACATGGATGGTTTAACTTCAGCAAATTTTTAAAAACCTGAAATCATACCAACCACACTCTCAGACCACAGCACAATAAAAACAGAAATCAATACTAAGAAACTCTCTCAAAACCATATAATTACATGGACATTAAACAACGTGTTCCTGAATTACTTTTAGGTAAATAATGAAATTAAGGTAGAAACCAAGAAATTCTTTGAAACAAATGAGAACAAAGATACAACATACCAGAATCTCTGGGACACAGCTAAGGCAGTGTTAAGAAGGAAGTTTATAGCACTAAACGCCCACATAAAAAGTTAGAAAGATCTCAAATTAACAATGTAACATCACAACTAGAAGAGCTAGAGAAACAAGAGCAAAGCAACCCCAAAGCTAGCAGAAGGCAAGAAATAACCAAAATCAGAGCGGAATTGAAGGAAATTGAAATGCAGAAAAAGTACAAAAGATGAACAAATCCAGGAGTTGGTTTTTTGAAAGAATTAACAAAATAGACTGCTAGCTAGAATAACTGAAAAAGAGAGATGATCCAAATAAACACAATCAGAAATGACAAAGGGGTCATTACTACTCTTCAATTTTCTTGAGTAGCCTAAGCTTGGTGTTCTATTTCTTTTAACTTACACTTGAATTGAAAATAAAAAAAGAACTAGTTTAAGCATTAAGAGTAGAAAATAAGATAACCAAATCTAATGGATGTTAACATTGTACTATATGTATTTTCAAACATCTGTTTTTTTCAGATGTAAAATAGTTACTGCTAAATACCTACCTTCTTCCTACTCATTGATGTTCAACCATTCTATCTATCTATCTATCCATCCCTCTCTCTATCTTTTGAGATGAGGCCTCGTTCTGTCACCCAAGCTTGGAGAGCAGTAGTGTGATCACAGCTCATTGCAGCCTTGATCTCCTGGGCTCAAATGATCCTCCCACCTCAGCCTCCTGAGTAGCTGAGACTACAGTCGTGCACCACCATGCCCGGCTAATTTTTTGTTATTTTTGGTAAAGGTGGGGTTTTGCCATTGGTCTTGAACTCCTGGGCTCAAGGAATCCTCCTACCTTGGCCTCCCAAAATGCTGGGATCACAGGAATGAGTCACTGCACCTGGAAATGTTCAACCATTTTAACCTGTGAGAATGGCAATCACCTATGATTCAAGCAAATATTGTCCTGAAGTTACTTCATATCATTTGCATGCAAGTTTTTATAGTTTTCTCCCATATATATATTTTGTCATAAATACAATGCTTTTTATGGTGCATTTTCAGTTTTTGTAGTACGGTATTCTGTAAATATCCTCAGTATTTTGTTTTTCTGTGTTTGTTTTTTGAGATTTATCAATATTGATACTTATAAATTTGAGTTGTTTTTTATTCTTGAATAGTATTCTACCATAAGATTAAGAAAAAACTGCACTGAATCTGTATTATCATTTTGAGTACTCTCATCTTAAATTAAATATCCAATATATAAACATGAGATGTCTTTCCATTCATTTATGTCTTCTTTTATTTCTTTCAGCAATGTTTTGTAGTCGGTAGTGTATAAGTCTTGTGCTTCCTTGGTTAAATTTATTCCTAAGACATTTTTTGATGCTATTTTAAATGAAATTGATCTTCTTAAGATCAATTTTACATTGTTGATAGCTAGTATATGGAAATACAATGTATTTTCTAGCTTGCTTTTGCATCCTGCAACTTTACTGAATGTATTAGTTCTAAGCACAAGTGTGGCACGTGTGTGTGTATGTTTTAGGGTTTTCTACATATAAGATCATGTCACCTATTAGTAGGGGTAGTTTTATTTCTTCCTTGCAAATTTGATTGCTTTTTATTTCTCTTATTTAACTCCTCTGGCTACAGCTTCCAGTGTCACGTTAACAGAAATGTTGAAAGTGGTATCTTTGTTTTCTTCCTTATCTCAGGGGAAAAACTTTCAGTCTTTCACCATTGAATATAATGTGAGCTGAGGGTTTTCCAAACTATAGAAATGATCCCTTAAAGGACAGTCTTTCCAAGAATTTTTCATATATGACCTTTATAATGTTGTGGCAGTTTCCTTCTATTCCTAGCTTTTTTTTCTTTTTACTGTTTTTATCATAAAGGAGTGAATTTTGTCAAATGCTGCCCATCAGTTGAAATGATCATGCAAGTTTTCTCCTTCATTCTATTAATGTGGGACATTACACTGATTAATTTCTATACGTTGAACATCCTTGCATTCCTGGAATAAATCTACTTGGTTAAGGTGTACAATCCTTTAATTATACTGCTGAATGGTTTGCTAGTATTGTTAAGAAATTTTGCATCTGTATTCATTAGGGACATTGGTCTGTAGTTTTCTTTTCTTATAATGCCTCTAGTTTTGACATCAGGATAATGCTCCCTTCATAGAGCAAGTGAGAGAGTGTTCACTCCTCTTCAAATTTTTGGAAGAGTTTGAGAAGGACTGGCATTAATTTTTCTTTAAGTGTTGGGTAGACTTCCCCAGTAAAGCCAACTGGCCCTGGGCTTTTCTTTGGTGGGAGGTTTGCGATTAGTGATTTTATTTCTTTAAGAGTTACGGGGTCTATTTGGATTTTCAATTTATTCTTAAGTCATTTTGGTGATTTGTGTATTTCCAGGAATGTGTCCATTTCATCTAGGTTACTCAACTTGGTGGCATACACTTCTTCAGAGTATCATCTTATAACCCTTTCTATTTCTCTCAAGTCAGGAGTAATATCTTTTTTCATTTCTGATTCAGTATTTCATTTTTCTCTTTTTCCTCCTTAGTCAATCCATTTAAAGTTTTGTCAGTTTTGCTGATTTTTCAAATAACCAACTTTCGGTTTCGGTCATTATTCTCTATTGCTTTTCAATTATCGATTTCATTTATTTCCGTTGTAATCTTTACACCAATAAATTGGTTAACCAAAATAATGAAGAGGTAAAACTACCAAAAAGATATAACAATACTACAATTTGGGTGCATCTACACATGGAACTAAAAAAATGTCAAAACTGATAGAACTATAAACAGAAATAGTCAACGCCATAATTATAGTTGAAGGTTTCACTTCTCTCTTAGTAACTGATAAAAGCAAGCCATTAAGCTATCAGTAAAGATGCAGAAGACTTAACACTATTAGCCAATTCTATCACTGACATTTATAGAATATTCTACACAAGAGCAAAGTACCTATGGCAATTGTACTATCTGTGAAATGAATGGTGCTATTTAAAAGAGGACTTGAATTAGTTATAAGTGTATACTTCAAACTCAAGGGCTGGCAGTTAAAAAAAGTTAAAAAAGCATAATTTATTCAATTAATATGTTATGAGAGGGAAAAATGTTGCCTTATACAATGCTCAATTAAACCAGAGAAGGCAGAATAAAAATGGGATACACACACACACAAAGAAACAGCAAGGGCAATGGATAAAAAACTGTAAGAAGGCCGGGCGCGGTGGCTCACGCCTGTAATCCCAGCACTTTGGGAGGCTGAGGTGGGCGGATCACGAGGTCAGGAGATCGAGACCATCCTGGCTAATATGGTGAAACCCCATCTCTACTAAAAATACAAAAAATTAGCCGGGCGTGGTGGTGGGCGCCTGTAGTCCCAGCTACTCGGGAGGCTGAGGCAGGAGAATAGTGTGAAGCCGGGAGGCGGAGCTTGCAGTGAGCCCAGATTGTGCCACTGCACTCCAGCCTGGGCAACAGAGCGAGACTCCGTTTCCAAAAACAAAAAGAAAAACAAAAAAACCTGTAAGAAATCCAACTGTATCAATTATCATTTTTAATGTCAGTGGTCTAAAGACATCAGCTAAAAGACAGAGACAGTCAGAGTAGATAAAAAAAACAAGATCTAACTATATGGTCTACAAGAAACCCACTTTAAATATAAAGACACTGATAGATTAAAAGTAAAGGGATGGAAAAAAGATAGGCATGCTCATAGTAATTTAAAGAAAGTGGGAGGAGCTATATTAATTTAAGACAAAGTAGGGCAAGGAAAACTATCAGAGATAAAGAGGGGCATTACATAATGATACCTGGGCCAATTCTCCAAGAAAACATAACAGTCCTTAATGTGTATGTGTCTAGCAACAGAATCAAAATACGTGAGGCAAAAACTGATAGAACTGGAAGGAGAAACAGATGACTCTACTATTATAGTTGGACACATCAACATGTCCCCCCAGTCAGTTAAGGACATAACTGAACTAAACAGCACCATCAATCAACTGGATTTAATATCAACATTATGGAATATTTTATCCAAGAAAAGCAGAATATGTAACTCTTCTCTTCTCACACAGAACATTCATCATGACAGACCATGTTCTGGGCCATAAAATGCACCTTTAACAAATTTTTAAAAATCATATAAAAGTATGCTCTCAGACCACAATGAAATTAAACTGGAAATCAGTAACAGAAAGATAGCTGGAAAGCTCCAAAATACCTGTAGACTAAACAACACATTTCTAAACAACACACATATTAAATAATTCAATAAAACTTAAAACTATTTGTAACTAAATGAAAATAAAACATCAAAATTTGTGAGATACAGTTAAAATAATGCTTAGAGGAAAATTTATAGCATTGAGTGCACAAATTAGAAAAGATCGAAAACAAATAATCTAAGCTTTCAGGTTACAAAACTAGAAAAAGAGAAAATTAAATCCAAAGTAAGGAGAAGAAAAGATATAATTAAAATTAGAGCGGAAATCAATGAAACAGAGAACAGAAAATCAATGGAGAAAAACTAACAAAAGCAAAAGCCAGATCTTTGTAAATATCAATGAACTGATAAACCTCTAGACATGTTAAGTAAGTGTATTTCTATCAGCTCCCTTGCATAAATTTTAAAATATAAAATTAAAAATTTTAAAATATATTTTAAAATATATTTAAAATTTTAAAATAATTTTAAAATATATTTTAAAATTATTTTAAAATATATTTTAAAAATTTCAATAGCTTTAGGGGTACAGTGGTTTTTGGTTACATGGATGAATTGTATAATGGTAAACTCTGGGCTTTAGTGTACCCATCACCCAAATAGTGTACGTTGTACCCAACAGGTGACTTTTCATCCCTCACCTCCCTCTTCCATCCTCCCCTCACTCTGAGTCTCCAGTGTCCACTCTACTACTCTGTAGACCTCTGCATACCCATAGCTTAGCTCCAACTTCTAAGTGAGAACATGCAGTATTTGATTTTCTGTTCCTGAGTTACCCCACTTAGGATAATGGCCTTCAGTTCCATCTATATGCTGCAGAATACATTATTTTGTTCTTTTTTATGGCTAGTGATATTCCAAGGTGTGTCTGTGTGCACATCCCATTTACTTTATCCACTCATTGGCTGATGAGGACTTAGGTTGATTCCCTATCTTTGCAATTGTGAATTGTGCTGCAATAAACATATGAGTATATGTATCCTTTTGTATAGAATGACTTCCTTTGTGTAGATACCTACTAGTGGAATTCCTGGATCGAATGGTACATCTACTAGTAGTTCTTTGAGAAATCTCCATACTGTTTTCCACAGAGGTTGTACTAATTTACATTCCCACCAACAGCATGTAAGCATTCCCTTTTTACCGCATCTACATTAACATCTATTGTTTTTTGACTTTTTTAAAATGACCATTCTGATTGGGGTAAAATGGTATCTCACTGTGGTTTTATTTGGTAGTTTCCTGATGATTTGTGATGTTGAACATTTTTTCCCATGTTTGTTGGCCATTTGCACATATTTTCTTTCGAGAAATGTGTATTCATGTTGCTTGCCCACTTTTTAATGGAATTATTTGAATTTTTTCTTGCTGATTTGAGTTCTTTATAAGATTCTGGGTATTAGCCCTTTTTCAGAAGTAAAGTTTGCAAATATTTCCTCCCAAACTGTAAGTTGTCTATTTACTTTGTTGATGATTTCTTTTGCTGTGCAGAAGCTTGTGAGTTTAATTAAGCCCCATTTATTTATTTTTGTTTTTACTGTATTTGCTTTTGGGGACTTAAGTCACACATTCTTTGCCTAGGTCAATCTCCGGAAGAATTTTTCATAGGTTTTCTTCTAGAATTTTTTATGGTTTCAGGTCTTACATTTATGTCTCCAATCCATCTTGAGTTAATTCTTGCATTTTTAATAGTGTTTGTTTTGTGCATATAGATGCTGTTATTTGGTGCAAATAAATATGTTTCTCATTTATGCTACACATGATCTACTTATCACGTTTAATATCTGAAATCTACTTAGCCTCAAATTATTATTGTTGCCTCTGTTTACTTTTTGTGTCATTTGATGATTAAGCTTTTCCTCATTCTTATTTTTTCCAGTTTGCTGTGTAATTTTATTCTAGGTGAGATTTTTTGTAAGGAACATCTAGTTATATTTCCTAACCCAATTTGAAGGCTTTTAAAGCTTTAACTGTATACATTTTATGCCAGAAATAACACTGGTTTTGACAGCTGTTTGTGTTTTTATATCCTAAGTACAATGCCTCATGACCAAAAGAAGACACTAATTGTAAGGCTTAGCCATCAGAATGTCTAGCAGGTATTTGGAACACATCTTTCTTTGACCCCAAGTTTAAAAGTGGGCCATTATTTGAGTGTGATAAGGGAAGTATCAAATAGAAACCTATTTTCAGCCTTTCATCTCTCTTCCGCTGGTGCATCTGTTCTACTCCTCTGGCCTTGCTTCACTTGTAAAGCAGTAGCTTACAATCATTAACCTCTGCGTAACTGCCATCAATCACCGAACTCTTCAGGCTGAATATCTCAACCAGAAAGTAGAAAGTCACAACTCAGGAAAGTTCCACTTCAACTCTGGCACGATGCTTCACAAATGATCTTGATACACCTTGCAAAAATGTGTCCTCAAACCAACTTCCATTATTGACCATGAATATTTTCCAGCACTCAATCCCAACCTTCCACATTCTCACTGCTTCCCTCCCTCCTGACTTCCCTTTCAAATTTTCTCTTCCCTCTCTCCTATCCATTTCCTTAGCCCTCTCCTCCTTAATCATTTCCACAGCTCTAATTAAACTCTGAATTTCCAGACATATTTATTTCCATTTTAACTCCCAGAAGTGCTATATTTCTAGCCATTAGACAATTCTATCTGAAATTAATTACCAAAAACCAGCTATAATCCTCTTCCTTAAACTTTCTCCCAGTATTTTCCCCAGTATTATCAGACTAAAATAGGAGTCCTCAATTTCTTGATAATTTCTATGGAATTCACACTTCCTTTCCCTTTGTTGCCTATGTTCTGCTTTAGTAAGAGCTCTGTCACTTAACACTGTATTACTGCAGTAGTCTCTTAATGAGATTCCCTTTTCCAGGCTCTTCTCCATAAGAGTCTATTCCAACAAAACTTGAAAAAATCCAGTTGCTGCGTGTCATTTCCTTACTTCAGCATCTACAGTTCTGTTAAGTGGATCAAGCAAACATACGAGGTCGACTTTCAAGAAGCCGCAGTGTATTCACAGGCCACCTGTCCGCTGTTTACATCCAGATTCTATCCACCACAGATTCCCAGTTCCTCCAGTCAGCATATCTTCATTCACTTCTCTTGTTACTACTTTTTTTTCTCACATTGTTTTCCCATTCTGAAATGTCCCATTTCCTTCATTTCCCAATCCTGTATTCCTTCAAACACATTTTTCCATGAATTTTTCCAAACCCAGGGAGGTGGAAGTGGAGTTAAAGGAGCCTTATAATCAAGAAAACAATGACGGCAGGTAGAAGCATAGTCTATGTAAAGGAATGGAGAGTGCTAATAATGGTTAATGTGTAGCATTTTCAACCACTTTAAAATATAATTATCTAAAGCAAAATCTAATTACCATTACCATGTATTGTGGTGTTTATTAACATATGTGAAAGTAAACTGTAAGAAAATAATAGCCTAAAGAATAGATGGAGGAAACAGAAATATGCTGTTGTATGAGAATTGGTTATGACTCAAGGTAGACTAAGTTAAACATGTGTACTGCAAACTCTAGAAACAACCTCCAAACAATAAAACAGACATACAAGAAGACAATAGCAGTGATAAAATGGAACCATAAAATATTCAACAAATCCAAAAGAAGGCAGACAAAGAGAAAAAAAGGAACAAAGAAAAAAAAAACAAACAGCAAGATTGTATATTTAAACCCAAGTATGTCATTAAGTACATTAAATGAAAACGGGCTACCCATTACATTAAGTCGTATTTTCTAATGAATAACAGAAAAACAAGAATTGACTATATGCTGTCTAAAAGAATATCCACTTAAATATAATTGGCATAGGTTAAAGGTATAATGATGGGAAAAGATATATTACACAAAAGCAAAAGAAAGGTGGAGTACTTATATTAATATCAGATGAAGTAGATGTCAAAACAAATATTGCTGCCATCTATACAGAAGAACATTTCCTAATGATAAGGAGGTAAAGATGAGCGCAGTGATGTATGCTTGCAATCCCAGCTACTCAAAAGCCTGAGGCAAGAGGATTGCTTGAGCCCAGGAGTTCAAATCCAGCCTGCACAAAATAGCAAGACCCCATCTCTTAAAAAAAAAAAGAAAAAGAAAAAAAGATGAGGTAAATTCACCAAGAAAACAATCCTTAATCTAAATATGTATGCAACTAACAATGAGGCTTCAAAACACATGAGGCAAAACCTAAAAGATAAAGTCCACGATCATAGTTGACGACATCAACTATCTTTTTCAGAAACCAATAGAACAAGTAGGCAGAAAATCAGTAAGAATATAGAAGACATAAACAATACTACCAGCTGTCTTGACCTAATGAACACTGGTAGAACAATTTATGCAATAAAAGCAGAATACAGTTGACCCTTGAACAACATGAGATTGAATTGCATGGGCCCACGTACACCCGGATTTTCTTCTGCATCTGCCACCTCTTGAGACAGCCAAGTCCAATCCCTCCTCTTCCTCCTCCTCCTCAGCCTACTTAACATGAAGACAACGAGGAGGAAGACCTTTACGATAATCCACTTCCACTTCATGAATAGTAAATATATTTCCTCTTCCTTATGATTTTATTAATAATATTTCCCTTCCTGTAGCTTACTATATTATAAAAATACAGTATATAATACAAATAACATACAAAATATGTGTTAATCAACTGTTCATTAAGGCTTCGTCAACAGTGGGCTACTAGTAGTTAAGTTTCTAGGAAGTCAAAAGTTACTGGGTTTTTGAGCATGGTGCCCGTAACTCCCACATTGTTCAAGGGTCAATGTATAGATTCTTTCAAGTGTATATAGAACATACAGCAACATAAGCCATTTTCTGGGCCATAAAACAAATCTTTTAAAGTGTAAAACAATTAAAATCATATAAAATATGTTCTCCAACCAAAAGAGAATTAAGCTAGGAATCAGTAACAGAAAGATATCTGAAAAATCCATATATTTGGAAATTAATCAACACACTTACAAATAACCCTTAAGAAGGAATCACAAGGGGAATTAAAACTCTTTTGAAATGAAAACACAGCACATCAAAATGTGCAAAGCATGACTAACAGTCCTTAGAGAGAAACTTAACTTAGATGATAAATTCCTTGAAAGACACAAAGAGCAAAATTCATCTGAGTAACAACAGATAACCACAACAGCCCTGTAACTATTAAATAAATTGAATTCACAGTGAAAAACTTACCAACAAAGACAAAACTCCAGGTCTAGGGAGAGCTTCACTAGTAAATCCCACCAAATATTTCATTAATAAATAATACAAATCCCATACAAACAATTCAATAAAATTAAAGAGAAAGGAGGAGTACTTCCCCTTTTGTTTTTAAAAAGCAAACATGATCCTGAAGTGAAAATTATACAAAGACATTTTAGGAAAAGAAGATGACATAGTAATATCACTCAGGATTTCAGGATGCAAATATCCTTAGAAATACAATGTACCAACGCTAGCAATATATAATAACACATCATGAACAAGTGGTTTTTTTCAACAGGAATGCAAGGTTCACTCAACTTTGGAAAATCAATGTTAATTCACCATTTTAACAGAACATAAAAGAGAAAAGCCATATGATCATTGCAGTAAGTGCAGAAAAAGCTTTAATAAAATTCAATACCCATTCATGATTTTAAAAACTCTCAGTAACCTAGGACTAGAACTTCCTCAATCTGATAAAGGAGGCATAAAACATCTATATTATAACATCATGTTTTTATAACATATTCAAATAATTCTGGACTTAGAGAAGACTTACAAAAATATAGTACACATAGTTACCATATGCCCTTTACCCACCTTCCTCTGTATCTTGTATAGCCATAGTATGAATATCAAAACAAAGAAATTAACATCAGTGCAATACTATTAACTAAACTACCAACTTTATTTCAATTTCACCAGTTTTTCCACCAATGCCCCTGCCTAGTCCAGGACCCAACCCAGGATCCCACATCGCAGTTAAGTCATCATGCCACTTTAGTCTCTCCAATCTATGAGTGTTCCATCATCATTCTTTGCCTATCATGAGGCTAACACTTTTAAAGTTATCAGGCCAGGTATTTCGAGGAATGTCCCTCCCTGTGAGTTCTTCAGGTTTCCTCATGATTATACTGAGGTTATGCATCTTGGAGGAGAGCACTTCAAAAGTACTGTGCCCTTCTCAGAGCATCTTATCATGGGTTCCATGAAGTCAACATCTTACTTACTGGTGATGTTAACCGTGATCACTTGGTTAAAACTGTGTTTTCCAGATCTCTCCACTGTAAAGTTAGTCATTTTACCTTTGTAAATGATAAATGTTCACAGGGAGATATCTTGAGAGTATGGAAATATCCTCTTTCCTAAACTTTTGCTTACTAATTTTAATATTCATAGGTGAATTCTGAATGAGCAATTTTCACTCTGGAGTTCTAATGGTGATTTGATTTTCTACTCTACTCACCTCTTTTACATTAATTGGAATTCATCTGTAAGGAAGACATGTCCCTCTCAACACTTTATTTAGACAATCAATCACTTATTTATGCAATATAGACTCATGATTACATATTTCATCCTTTGGATCATAAACTAACACTATATTTACTTTATTACTGAAATTGTTTCAGCTTCTGCTACAGGACCCTTCAGCTTGGGCTGTTTTCTAGGTCTTGCCTTTTTTTTTTAAGGCTCCCTCCTTACTTTCTGACACCACAAAATTCTCCACGCTCATCTTTTTTTCTCCCCCTATACTAGTGCTGAAATCAGTCGCGTCCTCAAGGAGCCTTGGTTCCTTTTATTGGAGAATAATAGTTAGAAACCCAGATCTGGCTGCTAGATGTGCTCATTAACATCATATTTAATGGTAAAAGGTGCTTTTCTCCCTAAGACTAGAAACAAAGTCAGGATGCTCACTCTTACCACTATTCAACATTATAATGAAGGTCTTAGCCAATACAGCAAGGCAAAAGAAGAAAGGAAATGCATACAGATTAGAAATGAAGTAAAACTTTATTTACAGAAGATATGATTGTCTGTGCAGAGAATTGTAAGTAATCTACAAAAAAGGTTACTACAACTAATTCTTGCAAGCCTGCAGGAGAAAAGGTCAATATGAAAAAACCAACTGTATTTCTATATACTGGCAGTAAAACAAAGTGAAAATGAAATTTTAAATATCATTTCCCTTGGAAGACATGAAACACACGTAAGGATAAACCTAACAAAATTTGTGTAAGACTTAAACATTGAAAATTACAAAACATTACTGTGAGAAATTAAAGACCACCTAAATAAATGGAGAAATAAATTGCATTCATGGATCTGAAGACTCATTGTTAAGATGTCAGCTCTTCCTAAATTTATCTACAGATTCAACACAATCTCACACAAAATCTTAGCAGACTGACAGAGTGTAAAATTTACGTAGAAATCTATATAGACATTAATCTAGATAAATTCATGCTATAAAACACCCTGCTAGAGAATCTTAAAAGCTTGAAGGTAGTTAAAGGATCATATCTTTTGCATGAGTAAATGACCTGTCCATTTCCACAAAGAAAGCAAGAAGCAAATCCAGGACCAGGATCCAACTTTGTTCTTTCATGTTTTGATACTGTGCTCTTTAGAGTGGTACATCATGCTACTTGTAATTAAGATTACTTTCACTTTTTACTTTGCCTAGAAAGAGATTCAGATCTCCTCAACAGATGCCAGAATCTCTAGATGTGCCATCACCTCTCGATGTGCAGCAATAAGTAGAAAAATAACCAATAATTATGTGATAATAAATTAAGAATAAATTTATCAAAACAATAAAAATGTAACAATAATCCCTGATCTTAGGAATGAATTGACTTTTACAATAAATTACACATTTTAAAGATATAAGGACTCCATTAAAATGTTTTATTTTATAAATTATTTAGTAATTTACACTAAAACACTGAAATTTTAACTGAATTCATTAAAACAGCTACTAACCCCCAGGCTGGTTCTCAAAATTAATTTCATGTTCATCTGTGATATGATACAAACCCAAATAGACTCAATCACATTTTCCTTTTAGAAAGAAACTCAAATTTAAAAGTGCTGCTATAATAAAGTTGCTCCTTCAAGTATATATGGGGCGGCAGAGAACACCAGAGCCTCGCGGGTCACACAGGACACCGTGAGTAAGCCTGTAGATGGCACCAATCCACGACCAATCTATTGTTTACAGAAACAGTCATTTTGGGTTGTGCTTCTTTATGCAAGATATTTAACACCTTTGCTCAAATTAAGTGGCACCCATTAAAAAAAAATAATTATAACAACTTGAACGAATTTATCTACATGTCATCAGAAGGTGTTTAGGCAGCTCCTCCTCCCTGCCAGAGCTGCTGGCTCCCCTAATTCCATTCCCACATGGTAGCTCCTGGCTGTCTTACTATCACCTTTACACTGGGCATGTCTAACCCAGTGGAGCTGAGATAGGACAGGCCTTGCTTCCTTACTGGTATACTGGTTGGGCTCTCAGAGCTTTCTCCAGGTGGGGCCAAACTCTTATTCAACATGAATAGCTGAACACTGAGATAAGGAAACGTTGTAGCAAATCTTATTTCCTCACAGGACTAAGAAGGTCCATATTTTGGCCCTTCCTTGAATTTACAGGGCCACATTGGTACCTCAACCATTGTCTCTTAAAGAAATGGTTCTTTTCCTCTTCTTTTTTTTTGGAGTAAGTCCTCCTAGAAGAGGGTGTCTAGAAAGGATGATATTTAGTTGTAGCTTATTATTAGCTATTTATTAAAAATAAAACCATGCATGATTTCTGGGAGAGACAGCAAGCCCTTCTTCCTTCCAGGTTCTTTTGTAGTGTACTGACACGATGAAAACAGTACACAGCTCATTAGAGGCATTCCTATATATGCATGCAACTCATAAGGAACATCCTCAGTGATACTAAGTGGATATAAAATTGTCTGTAAGAAGTGAATAAACATTTAGGAATGCTCAAGTGCTTCTCATAAAGGTTGTGAAGGATTCAGTACTTAACATGGTACTTTATACATAGTAGAAACTCAAGATATGTGAGTTGAATCGAGTAGAGGTGTCTAATATGATGCACCTATTTTAAATTCCTAGTTACAAGAAACAGAAAATCACCATACTCCCAGTAACCAATAACATAATACAGACATGAAGTGCTTGTGTTACTTCCTCCTAACTCATCTAATTCATATGACATAATTCTATGTTTACCTTAAGGCTTAACAGAGAAGAACACTTGGCACATAACAGACCCCAAATAAATGTTGTTGACTAATAAATGTTTCAGAGAAAAATATGAAATGTTGGAATAAACTGAAATGGATGAACTAAAAATAATTACAGAAAAATTCGGAGTAGATTATTGAATGAAAAACATTTCATAGTAAACATTTTATACAAGCATCTGAAAATCAAAGTATCAAAATCCCTGTCTGTACTAACAATATCTGAGGTAGTGGGGGAAAAAAAAAAAAAAAAAAAGCAGGGGGAGGGGGGGACAGACATAATAATTTCCTGCTCCTGAACTTAAGCAAAAATTGCAGTACTAAGAACAAGAAGGGTGGGTGCAGTGGTTCACGTCTGTAATCCAGCACTTTGGGAGGCCAAGGAGAGAGGATTGTTTGAGCCCAGGAATTCAGTACCATACTGGGAAACATGGCAAAACCTACAAAAAGTACCAAAAACGTAGGCAGGTATGGTGGCTCATGCCTGCAGTCCGAGCTACTTGGTAGGCTGAGGTGAGAGGATACTTGAGCCTGGGGAGGTAGAGGCTGCTGAGCTGTGATCGTGCCGTGCCACTGCACTCCAGCCTGGCCAACAGAGACCTTGCCTCAAAAAATAAATAAATAAATGAATAAAAAGTAATAAGCAGATCACAATAAAACTAAACATATGTAATTAGTAGTGGTTTTTTGTTTTTTGTTTTTTTTTTTTTTAAGAGATTGGGTCTCACTCTGTCATCCAGGCTGGAGTACAGTGGTGTAATCACAGCTCACTGCAGCCTCAACCTCCTGTGCTCAAGCAATTCTCCTGCCTGCCTTAGCAGCCTTCTTAGGAGTGCGCCACCACGCCCAGTTGATTTTTTTTTTTTCTTGTAGAGATGGGGTCTCACTGTGTTGCCCATGCTGGTCTCAAAACTCCTGGCCTCAAGTGATCCTCCCACCTCAGCCTCCCAAAGTGCTGGGATTACAGGCATGAGCCACCATGCCTGGCCTAGTAGTATTAATTTTGTGGGCAATAAAGTTCTGTTTCAAATGACAGAGAAGTCCAAAGTAAGACACTGTGTTTACTACCTTCATTAAATATTAAAAACAAATTTCTTTAAATTTCTTTTAAAACAAGGATTTGTATAAATGAATCTGAAGTGTTCACTTTAAAATTAAAGACATAAGGGCAAATTAAAAAATTTTAACTAGTTTTCTTAAAGAAAAATTAACACTTGGTATCTTTATTAAAATTAAAGAAATAATGAGAGGCAAACAAATTATTATGGGAAAAAAATAGAAAAATTCTGTGATCATGTTGAGCAAAATCTCAAGAGGCATTTGGGGAGTCAAAATCATGAGTAAAATTTTGTGCACAGAAGTTCAATAATCACTTAAATGTCGGTAAAATGGAAAGTATCATTACATCATTAACTTTTATTCACTTAAAATATTTTTGCTATAAATTCATTTTAGCAGTGCAGCCAAAATATATACACACTATGCCATAAAGAAATCTTACCTTTTTATCATATACATCTTGCCAGTTTACTCCAGAGAAGAAACTGTGTCTCATAATTTCTTTTGCATCATCTGGTCCTCCACCAAGGCTATGAGAACAGAAATAAAATTAAGTAAGTATAAAACATTTACATAAGCTCAAAGCATAACAAAAAATATTTTGTGAAAGTGTAATTTTCTGTGTAATAAACAGTTCTTGGGATAAATAGCTCTAAAAGTAAAAAGCTTTTGCTATAAGATCTATTTTTCCTAATATGCTTGTAAGAACTAGCTTCAGAACAGTATGGTATTTGGAAAAGAGCAGAGGCTTTAGAGATAGATCTGGAAGAGGCAATCATGTCTGGCACTTATGAGATGTGTGACAACAGAAAAGAGGCTTAACCTCAGTTTTCTCATCTGCAGAGTGGGGAATGATAACGTTTGCTGGTGGGTCACTGCAAGGGTTAGAAACAACATAGGAATATGGTTTGGCTGTGTCTCCACCCAAATCTCATCTTGAACTGTAGCTCCCATAATCCCCATGTGTCATGGGAGGTACCAGGTGGGAGGTAACTGAATCATGGGGGCAGGTTTTTCCCATGCTGTTCTCATGATAGTCAATAAGTCTCATGAGATCTGATGGTTTTATAAAGGGCGATTCCCCTGCACATGCCCTTGCCTGCTGCCCTGTAAGATGTGCCTCTGCTCCTCCTTCACCTTCTGCCATGATTGTGAGGCCTCCCCAGCCATGTGGAACTGTAAGTCCAATAAACCCCTTTTTCTTTATAAATTATGCGGTCTCAGGTATTTCTTCATAGCAGAATGAAAATGGACTAATAATAGGTAAAGAAATTTCAGTGTTTTCTGGCTTATTCAGTTTAATATAGTATATATTACTAAGCATAAAAGAACTAAAAGTGAGAAATAGGAAGAACAGGAGGAAAAGAGGGGAAAAGAACAAGGAAAGGAAGATAAAATAAACCTATTTAAATCTGAATTTTATATAGTAGGCTTTATTTGGACTTGTTCATTATTAGAAATGATATGTGCTGGTAAGTGCTTAACAACCAGCTCTCTGTGAGCAATCATGCATTTATACAAATATAATTTTTTTTCTTTTTTTTTTCAAAGGCACAGTAGATACCAGATGCTCAGAGCAGAGCAGCCATGGAGCTGCTGGGACCAAACCTTGCCTGACCTAGCCACCACCACACCCCAGACATATAAATTTAAATTTTACTGATATAAAGAATGCAAAACACAAAATTTACAAAGATCATAAAACATACAATGTTGTGTATTGTAAATTAGTCACCTGATTCTCACAGAAAACTTGTTAATTTCTGCTGTACGCCAAAGCCACTAATGGATGAAACTTACGATTAGTTCCAACATGAATATTGGTTGACATTTTTGTTTATGTTAAAGTCAAAGCTGAAAGTGATACAATGGAGACTTCAGAACTTCACTTGTCAGTTATGTGAGTGATTTCTTTGCTAAATGTTTAGTAACTTTGGGATGGTGGAAGAAGATTCATTTTTTGGTGCTATTTACAATGTAATGAATCTGCATTATTAATATTTTCTCTTAAGTCTAAACAGTCAACAAAACAGTAAGTGCAGCCCCAACTCATAGTATTTGCCAATTCTGGCGGTATAAATTCTTCCACTGTGGCCAGTTTCGAGCTACCAATAAGATGTCACTGAACATGTAGGCAGGAAGAGATGCATAGTAGCAAACCATTATATATTATGTCCAAACAGATACAGCAGACATAACTAATCTCAAAAATACAGATAACAGTGAAACATAACAAATTAAGGAGTAATGACTTTTTAGTATTTATGACCTTTGATTTTCCTATTATTAGTAAATTTATATAATTTTTAGTAATGACTATAATATACAACCAGCTCATAAAATTGGTGAAAATTTAACAGTTGGTTCTTGAGAGCTGGTATATGCTAACTCCAAAACACCACTGGGTTGGAAGAAAACCAAATACGTCATAGAAAACAAATACAGATGCTCCTAAACTTAATGATGGGTTATGTCTAGATAAGCCCACATTTCAACTTAAGATGGTTTTATCTGGATGCAATTCCATCATTAGTTGAGGAGCATACTAAATACGCATCAGTTTCGCACCATCATAAAGTCAAAAAATTGTCAAGCCATCGTAGGTCAGAAATCATTTATAATTATATAATTCTAATGAATTCTGGTTATTAGATCTAAGAAACACATGACTGGGAAGGACCTAGTATCCTTTGACACACAATTAAAATGGAAAACAGTCAACTGATACCTGAATATCTTTAGTGATGATAAATAATTCCCACCAGCTGGGTCTCCAACTCCCAGATCCTTATAGAATTCTCTAAATGAACTATACCCCAGAGATGGCACTTTTAGGTTTGATCATAATAGTGCTGTTCGATGTTTGCATTTGGAATTTTCAGACTGGTAGTTCTGTGTTCAGTGAGAGCTCAGCATTTCAGACCCTGCCCTCTTTTTCATTCTATTTCAGTTGTGTAGGTTTCTTTCCCAGGAGACTGCAAACTCCTTTGAAGGCAAGATCAGTGCTGGATTATCCAAAAGGCATTCTAAGCTTGTGCTTGGGGAACCAGAGAAGCAAAAGCACCAAAACACGTTTCTGAAAAGCATTTAATATTTTCAAGCATGCGTCAACATAGTCTGCATGAGAAACATCAAAGCTCCATGGCATTTTCTTACACTTATGTTGTAGTTTATTTCAATACTGTTTTCATTTGAATTGTACTTGAGATGGGAGTTGGAGTGGAGAATCATAATCATTTTGTAAATAAAATGTTTTAATCCAGCTTTAGTTATCCATTTTTGTAACTCCTCAAGTTTTCTAGCAATACTTTGGTTTTGAACATAGCCAGCATTTATTCTATATTTATCAAATACATATAAAACTAAAATATCAGCTATGAATACTATGCAAAGTCTGAGAATACAATCAGACTTCCATTTTAGAAGCTAGGAGAAATTCTTTAACACACTTCTTCAATGTGTGAAACTGTCAAAAATTTCAGTGTCAATGACTCTCTAATATACAATTTAAGACTTCAAAAATAATAACAAAATATGCTTTGAAGTAAGATATTTATGTCTAGAATACTAAACTCCAGTATCAGAATGCCAGACTAAATCCTCAGCTACTACAAATTCCTTTACTATTAGGAACATCACAGAATTCACATTTTCCTAATGTTACTGAATACATGAGGTCATGCTTTTCCTATCAACTCCGCATAGGAAGATAAAGGAGGGGCTAACAGAATGAACAGAAAGGATGGAGACTAAGAAATAAAAGCAAAATGATAGTTGACCCTTGGATAGAACTAACAGCAATTCAATAAGAAATACCAGAAAAATTCCAGTAGTATTTAAAATAGCTGCGTAGAAAAAATGAAGAGGTGTATTATAATGCTATCATTACTTATGTTTCCAAAGGCTTTTCAAGGTCCTTGTTAGCTTTCTTTTCTTTCTCCCCCTGAAACTGAGGTTCCCTAAGATTCTGTCCTAGGCCCTCTTCTCCTTATCCACTACCCTTGCCACTACTGCCTTGGCTCTAGCTACCTCCTAGATATAGTTATGGTTCCCAATCCATGTAGTCAGTTACTGTGTTTCTTTTAAGCATTCATTCTATTATTTCCAGCTGCTCACTTGACATTTCCATCTTGGTTTTATATAGAAACTTCAGACTCAGTGTACCCAAAGTTATTATCAACATCTAGCCCCATCAAGCCTCCTTGGTTTGCATACCCTGTCTGTTAATCACCCTAGCTGGAAACCTCAGAGGGATTCCTAACTCCTCCTACTTCCTCATAGTTTCTAGTTAATCATAACCTCTATCACTTGTGTACTACTGCTTCAGGAAGGAATCCATCTATTATCTGAACAATTCCATAAATATTCTTTTTAAAAAAAAGACAGGGACTCACTCTATTGCCCAGGCTGGAGTGCAATGGTGTCACCTTGGGTCACTGCAGTCTCGACCTCCTGGGCTCCAGCGATTCTCCCACCTCAGCCTCCCAAGTAGCTGGGACTACAGCATGTGCCACCATACCCAGCATTTTATTTTTTTTTAGTAGAGATGAATCTTGCTATGTGCCCAGGTTGGTCTTGAACTCCCGACCTCAAGTGACCTTCTTGCCTCGGCCTCCCAAAGTGCGGGGATTACAGGTGTGAGCCACTGTGCCTGGCCCCATAAACACTTTTAACTGCTCTGCCTGCCCCTGGATCCTCACTCATCTAATCTGTCCATGACAAAGCTGCCAGAGTTACCTTTTCATGACACAAATCTGATTATACTATCCCTTGCTTTAAACACTTAAGCAGTATCTCACCCTCTTCTGAATGAAGATTAAATATTTTCTAAGAAACCTAAGATCCTTATAATCTAATATATCAGCTTCATTTCCCAGTGTTACCCAACTCATATTCTACACTCTAGTCACTGAACTTCTCAAATGCCATGTTCTTTTGCAATCCTAGCTATACTCTACATGTAAATTTCTGTGCTTGAGTGCCAATGCAAATTCAAACTCCTTTCTGATCCAGCTCAAGTCCCCCAATCCCCTAGACAAAGCCAATAATTTCAACAGTACTTTGTATGTAGTTTGACCTGAGCATCTGTGAGTATATGTTTTGTGCCCCAAATTATTCTATGAACATCTAGAGCAGAGACTGGTTCATCTCACTCATCCTTGTATTCTCTGTATTTTGATGCAGCAGTGGAGGGGCTTGACACATCTATTATAAAAGAAATTATTAGATCATTGAAAATACTGCATCTTCTCATTAGATCAATATCAACCTCCTGGTGAACAAACAGTTAGGAATTGTTCTATTAATACATACTAGGCGGTTAACATTCTAAGAATTTGCCTCACATTCATTCAATAGTTCCTAAGTACCGACTATGTGCTATTCATGGAGTGGGCTGACAAATAAAAAAAAATGAATGAGACATACACATGAAAACCACAAGTACATTTTGTTCTACTAGCCACTTATATAAAGAGGGCCACAAAGTAAAGGGTGGTCAAAGTTGCCTGCAGGAATAAGAAAACGATGAGATAAATATTCACTGCCTCGAATACCAAGCCAAATATTAGACCAAAAAATGAAATAGATAAAAGTCGGCTGGACACGGTGGCTCATGCCTGTAATCCCAGCACTTTGGAAAGCCGAGGGGGGTGGATCACGAGGTCAGGAGATGGAGACCATCCTGGCCAACATGGTGAAACCCCATCTCTACTAAAATACCAAAAAAAAAAAAAAAAAAAAAAAGCCAGGTGTGGTGGCAGGCGCCTGTAGTCCCAGCTACTCAGGAGGCTGAGGCAGGGGAATTGCTTGAACCCAGGAGGCGGAGGTTGCAGTGGGCCGAGATTGCGCCACTGCACTCCAGCCCAGACAACAGAGCGAGACTCCCTCTCAAAAAAAAAAAAAAAAAAAAAAAAAAAAGATAAAAGTCACCACTCTGTTTAAAGTTACCTATCATCGGGTGCTGCTCCTTACTTAATTGTAAAAGAACGCTATCAAACGGAACACATTTCAAAACTTAAACTGAGAAACTGCTGCATTGTAAATAAGATACATAAGAAATACCAAATAGGCACCAAGAAACTTGACTTCTACTCTTGGTCTGCATGAATGTTCTGAGAGACCTTGAAGAAATCACCTAACCCTCTCTGGGCCTTTGTTTTCAACTCAATGAAATGGAAATAAGAATAGTATCTCCCCTATCCACCCAACAAGGCTCCTGAAAAAGCAAGGGAATTAATAGCTGTGAAAGTGCTCTGAAGAAGAAAACAAAATCACTTTACACATATAAATAATATCTGCAGCTAGGATTACAAAATGTTTCTTGAATGAGTCTTCACAAAGCAGAAAGACAATATCTCTTTTATTATGTTTGCTTATTTCTGCTGAAGATAAAGCCATGTTCCTTACAAGGTTAAAAGCTAGAAGAATACAATGAAAACCATTTCTCAGATAGACTTAAAAATCCAACTTTTTGGGATTCACTCATTAACCCACTCATATATATATAATATATATATATATGAGCATCAACCATACGTAAAACATTTTCATAAAACTCTATGTGAGGTATTATAAAATATTCAACAATATGTGAAATCATCTATGCTTCAAATGAGTAGACTCAGAGAAATACTGATATGCACAGATACCTAGATGGGAAGGCAGATATATCCATATACAAACACACATATTAAGAAACATTTTAATATTAATAGTCATTTCACATATGATTTATGAATTTATAAATATGAATGAATGTATAAACATGAATAAAAATACTGTAGCTCATTGAACAAAGCAGCAAGAGCCATAGAGTTCTTCAATTCATAGCTGTAGCTACAAAAACAGAAATTAAAAGTGTGTACAATTATTTTTTGCCATCAACTCTTTCAGCTATGCATAGAAAAGATTATTTTCAAATGACAAAAAAGCAGTTAGAGGCCGGGTGCGGTGGCTCACGACTGTAATCCCAGCACTTTGGGAGGCCGAAGCAGGCGGATCACTTGAGGTCGGGAGTTCAAGACTAGCCTGGCCAACTTGGCAAAACCCCGTCTCTACTAAAAACACAAAAATTAGACAGGCGTGGTGGAGGTGCCTGTAGTCCCAGCCACTCGGGAGGCTGAGGCAGGAAAATCACCTGAACCTGGGAAGCAGAGGTTGCAGTGAGTCAAGATCGCGCCACTGCACTCCAGCCTGGGTGGCAGAGTGAGACTCTGTCTCAAAAAAAAAAAAAAAAAAAAAAAAAAATGCAATTAGATATGTTAACACAGGTTGCGGGTGGGAGGAGAGTATTGAAAAATAGGTCTATTCCTTTTATAAGAAATACAAAGGCCCAGAGACTGAAAGAAAGAAAAGTGATTCTTCTATCCCCACAAGATCAAGTAACAGAGCAATTAAGAAATTTTCACTCATAATATGGATAATGAAACTCTCAAAATCCTTATTTGGTAAATCTGCATAAAATTTCCAAGTTAGGAAAGAGTTGAGAAAAATTTTTAAATGTTCTATATTATGCAGTTAAAAATAAGTCAGGATCTCAGTGGGAAGATGTCTACACCAAATACATTGCTTCTTGGAGTTAGTTATATTTGAATTAATTTCCATATCTCAATTTTTAACCACATTCATCAGTAATTCACTAAGCGTTATTTGAGGCTTACCGTTTATTTGGATCCTTTATCAAGAGCCCTGAAAGCAATGATTTTGCATCTGAAGAGAGTGTTCGAGGAAATTTAATGTCTTCCATTAATATTAATTCAAAAAGTTTCTCATGGTCCTGGTTGTAGAAAGGTAACCTCCCACACATCATTTCATACATGACAACCCCTAGGCCCCACCAGTCTACTGCTCGGCCATAGTCATTATCTTCTAACACCTAAAAGTGAAATCAGTAAAAAGATTAATTATTACATGTTAACTTTTAAAGCATTATTCATAAAACATAAGATTTTTACATAAAAATGAATCTTAACTTTCAAAGCCTAGGTAGTCTGAGATCTTGACATTTAAACTGTGAAGCATCCTACAAAAAATACAAATCACATCAAATATGTGAAATATTCAATATATATCCACAAATGGCCAGTGTACAAAAAAAGGGGCAGGTCGTACAAAAAAAAAAAAATCCCAAGTACATGAATATACATAAGGATCAAATGAAAAACGTTAGCTAGCATATTTACATATTTTTTCTTAGGCCTACTGACTTTTTCATTCTGGTTCCACCCATGTGGACTTCAAGTAACAACTCAGAGCTAGGGTGTGCTGATTATAGAGCACATAAAGTGCACTGTACATTCTTGCCTTAAGAAGAACTAAGTAATACAAATTAAACAGTGAAAGACAGTAGTAAACAAAGGCAATGTAATGGAGAAGTCTACAGGGCAAGACAACCATTAAAATAACTTTGAAAAACCTTTGGATGCCCCTGTATGTTTCAACTCTTTCTGGAACTATTTAAGAGACAAAGTGAATATAAAAGCTTATGGTACGAGCTGTAATAAACTTTGATAGCCACAGCTTTATACCTCACAACAAAAATTCCTGTTACAGCAAAAAAAATGGACTTAATATCTGTGTGGTATATGTCCTTAAATTTTTCCCAAAATATATTACACGTAAAATAAATTTAGTTAGAAATGATACAAAAGTATCCGTTTGCCTATGCTGGAGCAACCTGTTCAAATGGTAACATGGTAACCTACCATTTGCCCCAGGAAAAATTTGGTTTTATCTTTTTATCAGATTTGTTCTTCATCCAATGGAATATTCCTCATCTATATGCAACTTTGAATATTTTATTTTAAAACTATATTTGATAATCTTAAAGCTTATTTTATTTGATCCTCTCAGCTTTGGAAAACCAGATGGGGAAAACCAAATATATGAATTTATCAATTTAAAAACACTTACAACCGATTACAAAGGAGAACATTTGATAAGGACAAAGCAGTACTTGTGTTCCAAACTTTCTTGCTTCGAATTAAATATTTTCTGGAAGATTACTCCTACATGACTTTTATTTAAAATTTACCAATAATCTCACAGAATTACAGGTGATATTTTTGACAGTTACATTATGATTACCTAAAAATACTATGAAAGGCACTTTGGTAGGGTATTTAAAGACAAAGGATATAATTTATAAGAAAAAATATGTTACTTAAAAGATCTATTCAATAAGCATTTCTATTATGAAAAGATTTTTAATTCAATTATATCAATGTTTGTTTTACGGCTAAAAAACTGAAAACTTCACTGGTAAGATATGAACACATGTTTAGATCCTATGCTTTTCTAGAAATGTTTTGTAAATCACAAACTAACAAAAAAACATTTTCTGGAAGAACAACAAATTCTAGTTTTCATCATCAGCGCAAAGAATGTCATATTTTTACTTGTTTGAAATGAGTAATTTGAGAACAAATAGAAAACAAAAAATAACCTAAAAAAGCAGAAGAAATTCTACTTCATATTTACGTTAAAGGAAATGCTGCATGTATTATTTTAAAATACCACTGACTTTTGATGATTCAAGGATCTCGCTCATGGCCAATTAGTACAATGCACTGTTGGTGGGCCTTTATCTAATTGACACAAGATTTTAACTAATAACAACCAAAAATTTATATCTAAGTAACCTTTAACTACATTCCTACAACACCAACACAACAGTGGCATATACGAAAAGGAGCCAAATGTGGTTTTTAACCTCTTTTTTTTTTCATAAAACCATAAAAAGCATAAAAGCTGGATTAACTGCCTCCCGAACCCACATTTCACCAGCCGGGTTCTCATCCCCAGCTGGCAAAACTGGCAATCCTTTATTTTTTTTAAATACCTGGTTTGCAGCCAGAAGGGAAAGTGAGTACATAAAAAAGGGGGGTTTTATTTTTGAAGAGAAGTAAGCAACTGAAAAATAAAACTGCATTGTAAAAAAATCTGTTTGATAAAATAAAATACATTTTATTTAGCTTTGTAAAATGAATATCGATTCTTAAAATAAGTGATTTTGCCTCTGAACATACGTGCCTTAATTGATCTACAGATACATAATGCTATAATTAGAACTGTTTGCCGTATTACTTTGTATTGAACAAAACTGATGTAACGTATTGTCTTCCTGACATGTAAACTTAAGCAATGCTGAGAAGAAAACACCCTAACAACTAAAATCCCTCTTTACCTAAGAGACTTCACTATCAATTAGAAAGATTTTTGTCCAAATCCTATCTCCAAACAGCTATAAGATGAAACATACATAAATAATGATTACAGTATCCTACATGTGGATACATATGTTCCCACTATTAAAACAATATCCTTTCTCTTTCCTGAATCTAAATTATTTCAAAACACAATACTTTCAAATACTCTGGAAATCCCACAGCCAAATTAACCAATTCGAATCCAATAACCTCTTTCACATTATTTTAAGAAGACAATTTTTCTCCCTCTACTCAAAGCACTTATTATTCTATAAATACATAACATATAAAATTTACATTTTTTTAACTTAAGGATTGCAAATTCTTTCTGGCTACCTCTGATCATTTTTTTCTAGCTAAAAGGCTAATTTATTTCATGGTTATTGTGAGGGCTGGCTGAAAGGTATGATAAACAGTGGTATAATGGACAGGTACAACAATGGTAGAGCATATTTCAACTTCATTAAAAGGTTAATTTCTCATATAATTTGGATATAAATGCAGATCAAAATATGCTCCTGAAAAAATCCAGTGAAAGATTTATCTTGAAGAAATAACTTCTGTCTCCTTTCCATAAAACCAACATTACTGACTTGTAAATGAAACCCAAACTTTAAATAGGAAAGCAGACATTTGGTATTTCCTCTACCCCTACAGTCCTTTGTAACCACAGATGTAGTTGTACATTATACCTACCTTTAACACAAATGCCCAAACAGAGATGAAAGAGGAGATTTGGAACATCAAAAAAATGTAATTGTTAAAAAATGATGAGAGGTCACATCAAATGAAAACTTAAACAGAGCACAAAGTCTAGAAAACAAGGCTGTATTTCTAATAGGAGCCAGAAACTGCTTTACTTTATGATACGATAAAACCTAAGACTCAAGGAGGTTACAGCAGATACAAATTAACATTAAATATCCTGGAAATATTTGATCAATATTTGATGAAGACACTTACATTTATAAAACAGCCAGGTGAGTTAAAACACATTAGTTTTTGAATTGTTATTAATTTCAAAGAATGATATTGAATGAGAAACTATATATTTTTAAATGATACTACCAATTCAAGTTACTAATGTAAATATTTATTTGGCTAATGGGCTTTTTCAAAACAAAAAAAAAACTATTCATTACAATATTTGTTTACCAGGAGGATTTACTAGGAGGTTAAAGGGACCCCTCTCTCAGCTTGCCCACCAGGCCACACAATGCACCCAAGGCAAGCAATTATAAGGAGGCTATGTATGCCCTGGAGTGGCTTACTGCTCAATCAATAATCCTGACAGAACAGATGGGGGAAAAAATTAAACATCTAAACAAACTGTCTGCACACCTATGCTGTGAAAGTAAACTGCGAACTTGGATGAACCAATTTACCACTAATTCAAAAAAAAAGTTTTTTCTGGTAGCCTTACATTTCAGGTAACTGATAGATGTGTGTTTTATACCTAAACATACATCTGTATCATTTATCATTTATGGGAGCCCTTCAGATATTCTTAACATCACAGGTATGGGCTAAGAAAAAAAGACCTATAAATCTTCTCATTCAGATTTTAAAGTAAACTGCAGCTTCAGGAAAAGTATCCATTTCAATACATAAGATTATAAATTCTACAGTTGCTTGGTATTTTCTTCATAAATATATATTTTATAACTATTTCTCAACTGCTTTAATAGTTCTTAAGTGACAGCAACTGTCAATGCCATTTGCTATGAATTAGAATGCTGTACGCTTTATGGCCACCTCTCCTAGCACACACAAATACTTGTATACAGTTAACATCGTACTTTCAAAAGCAAACTCTGGCTAGCACAGGAAAAATCCTTTGACAAGAGAAAGGCTAAATGGATACAATAATGATGATTAGATCATACTTACACATATCTTCCAAGAAATTTCTATACTTCTTTTTTATTCTGAAGCAATAGACATTATGGGATTCCAAGAAACTGAGCCTTCATAACCCAAGTAACAATAGCCATTGTAAAATACTATAGGTAATCACCAGTGTTTCCAGTTAGGGTTAGTTTTGTATATGTTCTCATGGTACAGAGAATTTAAAATTAAACTTCATGCTTAAACTAGAATCACACCGAAGTACTGAATGCAAATATTCTGTTAAAGCCAAAAGACCATATAACATTGAAAAGAAGTTAGGGCGAAAAATAGCTACTTTAAGAACTGACAGACCTCTAAGTAAGTAAAAGATGCCACTTATAAACATTGAGAGGCGTTAATTCCATTTTAGTTCATATTTAAACAATGTCCAATTATGAGATAAAATGGAATGGCTTTTAATATTACCCAGAAAATCATATAAAATAGCAACATACTATAGAAAGAAATTAAATATATTCAACTAAATAGTAAGCCAACTCATATGAGAGTTAGAAGTTCTTAAACATGAATTCTAACTATAGAGCAGACAGCTTCTATCTGAACTCATCCCTCTACTCCTTTAATGTTCCCTTTAATCATGGTGATGAGACCTTTTCTGAATTCCCAGGAAGATGAAGGTTTTCAAAATTACCCCAGGTGGAGAGATATCATATGAATTATCAATAAGTAAATAAAATGTTAGGGTTGTCCACAATTTTAGAAAGGCTACTAAAACAACTCTTTCTTTTCACAAAAAGCATAGAGATTCTAAGACTAGTTTTACAATCTGCTGGAATATAGTAGGACTTTGTGCAAAGACTAATCAGAATGTAACTACATGTGCTACTATTTTTACCTACAGATTAAATGTGCAAACATATGTAACTTTAGCCTCATTCATTTCTCTTCAGATCTCCTAAAAACAACATTGGCAGCACCCACAAAATGACATATTTTACATTTATTCTTTGTTGGATTTAAAATAAAGAAAATTCTGTTTAATACATTTCAAGCAAGTTAGCTTCTAACTATTTCCCACACCTACAACACTAGTCCATGCCCTGGCACTGCCTTTACTACCTTTTGTGGAAGTTAATATATATCTTTGGTTTTTAATTTATATAGAAATTAATCTCCATGTGTACTATGAGCTAACACAATGACTTTGAGCAAATCTTTGTATCAAAATAGTTGTCAAAATATTCTCATCTATTTCAGCTATTTTAAAAATGTTACATTATATGCAAGATATTAAAGATAGTAGGTTTCAAAGAAAAAATCAGGAAAATTTTGGCAAGCAAAACATTTTCTAAGAATGGGGTTCTAAAAAACTAAAAAGAATGCATCAAATACTGCACTTCAGCCACTGGAAAAACAAATCATTTTACATTTAGATGAAATAAAATTAGATGCATTTTTTTCTCAATAGCAACCACAGCTAGATATATTTCCCAACAATCAAGTCATTTTTTGCAATCTTTGTTAGTTCTAACTTGATTATCAAATAATTTTTATTTTTACACTATTACAGAAGTGCATTTCTCTAGGTTTCCAAAACCACCTTATTCAACCTTCCCCATCTGTCACCATCTGCCTCTTTTTAGCATGTACTTTTTGTGTGATCACATAAGCATGTGAAAAATAACTAACATTCAGATGATTATCTGCTGGTACATTTGAGGACTGGGCATAATAAAAGTGAACTGCCAAAACGCACTTAACACTTTTAATTTTGTTGGGTCTTGCATGTAAGCTACATTTGATTTTCAAACTGTTTTACAGTTGGAAAGTGGATCAGGTACTGCTAACTCAAGAGCAAAGCTGAGACTCTAAATAATTAGCACTGCATAAAATGGTTTGGATTCAATAGGAGCCAAATCAAATAATAAAATTTAGCAGTAAGAGTTTATATGTGATTTCTAATTTCTTTTATAATTTCTAGGTGTGAAAATACAGCACAGATTATAAAAACAAAATCCCCTCAAGATATCATATGGTCCATAATTTACTATAAGTTTATTTCCTTCGAATGTACAAAAGAGCAAAAGTACATTCATTTAAAACTATACATACAAATGCAGTTTTCAAGATGTAGCACACTAAATGCACAGTGCATATGCCAGCTAGAACTGAACCGCTGTAACCTGTTAAAAACACAAAACAAAACAAAGCTAGCCTTTTCTACATTAGCAGTATTGTTAAATGCTTCCCAAGTTGGAAAACTGCATTGTAAGCTGCATTCTTCATCAAAAGAGATAAGAGAACAAATACCTTAAAAATATTCTTTTTTCAACAAATGGCATATTTATACTGTAAGTTTTATGTTTTTCTAATTTGCCATAAGAAACAAATTAAGTTCACTTAAAACTCAAGTTTATTTTAAAACCTGCCATGTATCTGACATTGGACATTTAATAAACTGGCTTTAAACTGATTTCTAACACTCTTTGTGAAGTATCTTCAAAATACCCTTCACCTGTCTTTATACCAGATTAAAACAACGTAAAAGGCGAAGGAACACTATTGCTAGATGAAGTATAGGTTGCAGCAAGATTCCTACATAATGTGTAAACAAATCTTCTGTAAAGACAGAGGGGAAAATGTTGACAGTGAGTCATTCACAAGAGAAGCAGTAGTCAAGAATGTATTACAGATCTGATACACAACTACTACTTCTAGTACTGTCACGAAAAGCCCAGCATTAATAATGGTAATGTACTAGAAATTTCAAGGTCCAAAAAAAGTGCGAGACACCATCTGAGGTAAAAGGAAGAGGCTGGCTTCAGCTCCTGCCAATCGCTCCCTAACACTGACCATGTAAATCTGATCACAGTATCGCCTTGCTCTCAATTCACAAGTAATTTTCCCTAGCCCACAGGATCAAATCTAAAACTGTTACATTTCAATCCCTATCTATGTGTCCAGCCTCCTCTCTTCCTGCTTCCCCTTTTCCACTGCCGGACCCTCCCTGCAGGCTTAAGCACTTTTCCTTTTCCTTCCACTCCACTGTATGGAACTAGTAAAGCAGTTATTTTCTTGCACAGTAATAACTGTTTTCCATGTCTTATCACCTCAGTGAACAGCAAGCCACTTGAGGGCAAAAACATCTTCTACCATCGTTGTATTCCCAGTACCTAATGTAATGCCTGATACTTAATATTCAATAAATAATTCTTTGATGAATGAATGAGTGTCCCTCAGTAAAATGGTCCACGCTGAAGACCAGAATAAAGGAATTAAATTCTTATTTTTTTAAGGGTAAACACAGTCAAAGTTTAAAAATGCAATATGTGACACAACATTTAAAATATAAAAGTTACAATTTCGTAAGTTGTTTCAAGATTTCTCATACTCAAATAATAACAACAATAATCACTCTTCCCTATAAAAACATGGTGTCCAGATTTGAATTATGAATCAATGTGTATCCACCAAGGATGGGTATACAAACTGTTTTTAAAGACCAGACTTTTGAAGTATTAAAAAAGGTATACAGAAATGTTTTCTTGTCTTTAAAGAGAAACTGATAATTTTGTGGCAACTATAAACTTTCCATTCAGAAACAAGTGGACTCTTCTTGCATTAGATTCTTAATTTGTTCTTCAGTTGATGACACTGCATATGAAATAATATATTTGTTTCTCAGATCATCTGCTTCTTAAATGAGATGTATTCATCTTCTTCAGAAATAATTTACCCTAATTGTGACACAATTAATTTTGTTATTCTAAATATGGCATATCTTCTTCCATAGCAAATTTATAGCAGGGGTAACTGAACTCCAGAGAAACAAATAATTTTTTGTGACATTTATAAAAACAATTCTATTCTAGAAAATATTTTATTTGAATAAACAAGAAACAGTGTTACTAAAGTTTTACCTAATTAAACCACAAAAATAGAGAATTCTAAACTACAAATTTTTAAAGAGAGAAAATTATATTTTTGGCAAGAAAATAATAGTATGAAATTTATTGTATTTTAAATAGTAGCACTTATTTACAATAACTTAACATTGTTGAAATGTAAATGTAATCCCTAGTTGAAAAGAAGTATTAGAATAATAGACCAGCATGAGTTACTTTATGTTTAAGGAATGCTAGTATCATTGGGGATTTATTTTACTTCCTAATTTCTTTTGATTACCTTTTCCTGTTGGGCATTTACAAAGCATTCATTTAAAAATTACGATTATTTATATTTGTAAGTGGTCTTCAAATTAGGATTTTTTGAGGCCAGGACGTATGTAGTTTAAAAAGTAAAAGTGGGCTTTATAGTCAGACACACTAATTAGAATCTTCATTACACTTCTACCACCTCTTAGCTGTGTACAGATAACATTTAAATATTCTGATCTTATGATCCCTCACCTTTAAAAAATTGCATTTGCTATCTATCATCAAAGATTATTCCAAATGTTAAATGAAATAATAGCTGTAATGCACTTACACAGCAGGTGGCACATAGTAGATGCTCATTAAATAGTTACCCTCACACATCAAATATTAACACCTCCCTATTTGCCTATAGCCACAATAACTGTATTGGAGTTTGAGGGGAAATGGAGCACCAGCTGCTCTCTTTGGAAAGCTCTTCCCTTTTACCTTTGCAACAGGTACCATCACTTTCCATCAACCATCACTTTCGCTGAACATAGTATCTGTGAAAGATGTTATTTTTCAAAGATGGCTGTGGCAGTATCTCCCATCTCACATGCTCTTCTGTAATGTAAAGGTGTGGTCTCTGTCTCTACCACTTTAACCTGTGCAGGCTTACAACTGCTTCAGGGAGTAAGGGTATGACAGAAATGATGTTGTGTGACTTCTGAAAATAGGCCATAAAAGGAGATGCATAAACAAATGTTCATAGCAGCAGCATTATTCATAGTAGCCAAAAAATGGATGCAACCCAATGTACATCAGCTGCTGAACAAATAAACAAAATGTGGTATATCCATATAATGGAATATTATCCAGCCATAAAAAGGAATGAAATAAGTATAACATGCTAAAACAGGGAGGAACACTGAATTTTATGCTAAGTGAAAGAAGCCAGTCACAGAAGACTCCATACTGTATGATTCCATTTGTATGAACTGTCTACAATAGGTAAATCTATAAAGACAAAAAGCAGATCAGTGGTTGCCTGTGGCGGAAGGAAGAATGAGGAGCTAACGGGTATGGGGTTTCTTGCTGGAGTGATGAAAATATTCTGGAATTGGACAGCGATGATAGTTGTACAACTCTGTGAACATATTAAAAATCACCAAAGTGTGTATTTTAAAAGAGTAAGTTTTATGGCATATGAATTGTACTCCAATTATAAAAATATCTGTGAAATCAAGTTTTTAAAAAGTTAATAGTCTTGATGGTTTACTAGGTGGAAACAAAGGCACCATGCAGCTTCTAATGTGTTCCCTAGGACATTTGCTTTTAGGGCTCAGAGCCAAAGAAGTCTGACTGCATTGAAACTGTCATTATGAGGAAGTCCAGACTCATGGAGAGAAGGGCTACATGTAAGTGTTCCTGCCAACAGCCCAAATAAGGTACCAGTGGACAGGCAGCAGAACTGTCGGACATGTGAGTGAAGATGCTTCCTGATGACTCTAGTCTCCAGCCATAGAATCATGCTCTCACTGTAAAGTCTTTCAAGCTGAGACCTCATACATAGTGGAGAATAAACTAGCTATCCTTGCTGTGCCCATTTGCATTCCTGATTCAGAAAATCCATTATTTTATATAAAATGGTTGTTTTCCACTGCTAAGTATTAGGGTGGTTTGTTACACAGCATTAGTAACTGGAACACCATCTACAACAGCCACACCACACCCTTACATTTAATCTTGCTTTTTTGTTTGTTTGTTTATGAAACTTAAGACATTATGTTATTTATTTATTTTTATTCTGTCTCCCTCCACTGAAAGTTAAGTTCCCTGAGACTAGGATCCTTTTCTGTGTTGTGCCTGTAACCACATCATCCAGAAAAGTACCTGATATACAGCAGATACACAATAAATATTTGTTGAATAAACAAATTAATAAATTATTGTGGAACCCTTAGCACAGGGAAGTTACCAGTTTGGAGCTTCCTCTGACATAAATTCCAAAATGTAGCTACTGTCATTTCAATAATTTTCCCAATAAAATAATTTTAAATAAACCCACAATACTATAAATTAAAAACCACTGTTGTTTCTAAGGAAAGTCCAAGATGGTTTATAAATATAAATACTCTTGCTGAAATCAATTATTCTATTTTAATAAATGAATCAAAATGGGTATAGCCAAGATAAAATGGATATGGCCAAGAAATAAAAATTGATTTAACTGACTATAGCTAGTACCTTTGTGCTTATAGTTTATAAAATTTAATTTCAGTATATTCTTGATCCTACAATACCCCATTATAACAAATTAAGAGCCAAAAAATTTTGATTCAGGTTGAAATATAGATAAAAGTAGTAGATACTACAGTTAACTTTTAATGCTTAAATGGTTTACTTTGCAAATCATTATGTCAATGTTACTTTCCTATTAATGGAACCGAAGCCTACCTCTGGTGCCAGATATTCTGGAGTGCCACAGAATGTCTTCATGGTGGCTGCATCTGTGATCCCTTCTTTGCAAAGTCCAAAATCTGTAATTTTTATGTGGCCATCTTTGTCCAGCATTAGATTCTCCAACTGTGTATTAAGAAAAATGACATAATTTGTTCTATAGTCTTCAACAACATGAAAATACCATTTTAAAAAACTACTGAATGCTGAGTAAGGTATTTTGGAAACAGGACATAGTTGTAGCTAATAGAACGCTCAGTACTTACAAACTCTGTTGCTTCACGTGTAAAAAGAAACATGTTTTATCAAATACTTCACGATGATAAAATTATCTATTTTTAAACCGATGGGAATAAGTGATATAGCTTTAAGAGCCATTATTTTGTAAGTTCTGAAATTAAAGCCTAATCAACTTTTCAAAGCAAACATCAATCCTCTTTTTTTAAAAAAGAAAATGTGATCTAAACAATCCCAAAGAGATGAGCATCTTCTTCTAGATATATACAGATGGTTTCAACAATTTCTCCTGGGAATCTATTGCTATTATAAAATATTCACTTACAGAAATGTTTTTTGGTGGTGCTTGTAAATCAAACCTAAATCTTATTTTGTAAGGTAAGGCGATATCCTCTTTTGCAGTTCTTTGTAATAAAGAAATACCAACCCTTTTAAATATAAAAAGAAAAAGAATATCAAAGTCAAACATTCAACAGTTAATAAAAATATATAGCATAAATGTTATAAAGTTGGACCCTCTTTGAACCCATTAATTCAAAACACCAAAGAAAATCTTAAAGATTTAACCAAGTAACAGGATCATGTGCCTCAAGCGGAAAATTATGAAATGTAAGAGAGGAGGAATTTGTGCAAAGCCAACACAATTAGAAATAACAATGTAACCAGCCAGTTCCCCTCGAGCTAATTTGAACCTAAGATTATGATTATCATCAAACAAAGATACAGATGAGTTCTGAGTTATGATCATACAGCCTTATGTATTCAGGGCCCATAAAACTTTGCCTAGTCATGTAGACACAACCTAAAGGTATTTCTTCTGTCATACTGAAAAAATATACAAAATGTGAAAAGTATATTAACAGGATAAATGATAGTTAACTTTTATTTGAGGAGTAGATTCTTATTCTACTCCTTAATGTGATGACATTTGAAAGAATGTACCTGGACTCTGAAGTTAATATCAAATTTAAAACAGATCTCCACTTTAGAACATAAACATATCAGTCATATAAAATATGTTATTATACTCTCTGCCATATTGTCAAATGTCTTATAAACCAGACACTAAATACAGTTAGGCAAGTTGTGTTCACTGAAGCAAAGTTCAGAACAGACAAAAGTCCTTTTTTATAGTACTTCAATGTGCCATCTAACTAAACCAAATGCTTGATATACATTTCATGTATAGCATGTCTCACAGAGGTAAGTCTGGCTTCAATTTTTTTCTACAGAAAGCTGAATGAACACATAAAATATACTGCTGAACCTTTAAAAAAAAATTTCTGTTTTGAGACAGAGTCTCACTCTGCCACCCAAACTGGAGTGCAGTGGTGCAATCACAGCTCACCACAACCTCTGCCTCAGCAGCTCAAGCCACCTCAGCCTCCTGAATGGCTGGGAACACGGGCACGTGCCACCATGCCTGGCTAATTTCTTAATTTTTTTATAGTGACAAGGTCTCACTTTGCTGCCCAAGTTGGTCTTGACCTGCTGGGTTCAAGCAATCCACCCACCTCAGCCTCTCAAAGTTCTGGGATTACAGGCATGAGCCACCATGCCCCACCAAATTAAAATTTTTTATTTTATCCAAACTCAGTTATCTTGTATATTCCTGTTTCTCTACCAGCCAGAACCTAGAAACCAAACCCAATCTGCACAAATGACAATAAGTCTTGTATATTGAAACCAATCAGAAACATCAAGAGTCTTCAACTGTCCTATTTTCTCTTTCTGCCTTGGTCTGTCTCTTCTCAGCCTCTGGTTTCTCTCTTTTTTCCACCTCTTTCAAACAACCTCTCTTCTTCCTCCCTCCCACTTTGCCATAATGAGAAACGTTAAGTATATACTAAAGCTTCTGTTGTTTTACTGAATAAAAATGTATATGCCCTTTTATTAATTTTTAAAAATATGCTTTATAAATATATAAAATGCTGAAGATCTTTAGTGAATACTCTTTTACTAATATAATACATTAACAATTCTTATAAAAGTTCCAAATAATACAAAATATTGAACAAAATGTGAATGTACTTTTTACACCATTCCATTCCCATCTAGTTTGGTGTGTAATGTGCCAATACTCCTCACATGCTTTGTATGCATGGGAAAGTCTTCATGGAAACATGACAGACAGGATGCACTATTTCTCCACGTTTTGACAAAGCTATTTTTGAAGTGGCTGGATACAGAAAAACCAAAATGTATAAACACTGCTTTTTAATACCTAGCTCCGTGTGTGTGTACGTGTGTGTAAAATTCTGACTTGCATCTAATTCTGTAACCTCGTATCTCATCTCTGAGCCTCAGATCATGGTTGTGAGAAGAAGAATGAAATGAGATGCAAGGATAGGTTTGGGTAAGGAATAGGCTGAGGGTGACCAACTCCCAGTTTGCCCAGAACTGAGGGGTTTCAAAGAATGCAGGACGTGTAGTGCTACAACTGGGCAGTCCTGGGCAAACCAAGACAGCTGGTTACCCTACTTGTTTTATAAATTAGCTTTTAAAAAAATTACAATGATATAGTAAGAAATAAGATAAGCCTAAGGGATGACTGAGAGAGATGGGGTAAGGGTCATGGCCATGGGGACTGGTAGCATACTGCCTGGGAGGCAGTAGAGAGCAAAATGGATAAGACTATGGGTTCAAGTCAGAGGGTTCATATTAAAATTTGAGCTTTATCCCTTATTCACTGTGTGACCTTGGGCATATTATTAATTTCTACGTGCTTCAATTTCATCTATAAAACAAAAGTAAATAACAGTAACAATCCAATGTGACAGTTTTGAGAAATGAGATGCTAAATGCAAACTTAACATACCATAAGAATTGAATAAATGAACTCATCTTTTCTTAAAACATGAAGAGTTTAATGGCTTATTTGTAAATTGTCATGATGTGGGCTCTTCTAAAAAACACTGTATTTTAAAGAAAAGAACAAAGTTCAAGAGTGGAACCCCATAAAACATTTCTGTTGGCTCAATGACTGCATTAAAAATACTTTTCAATATGCAATAATTTATTTTAAGTAACAAAACACAGGCTAGGCACAGTGGCTCATGCCTGTAATCCCAACAATTTGAGAGGCTGAGGCAGGCAGATCGCTTGAGCTCAGGAGTTCAAGACCAGCCTGGGCAACATGGTGAAACCCTGTCTCTACCAATAATACAAAAGATTAGCTGTGCGTGGTGGTATGCGCTTGTGGTGCCAGCTACTCTGGAGGCTGAAGCGGGAGAGTTACTTGAGCCCGAGGTGTGTGGGGAGGTTGTAATATGCAGAGATGGTGCCACTGCACTCCAGCCTGGGTGACAGAGTGAAATCCTGTCTCAAAAAAACAAAACACAAATATTTTATAATTTTCTTATTTTTGAGACAGGGTCTCGCTCTGTTGCCTAGGCTGGAGTACAGTGGCACAATCACAGCTCACTGCAGCCTCAACCTCCCAGGCTCAACTGATCCTCCCACCTCAGCCTCCTAAGTACACAGGCGCACACCACTACCACGCCCTGCTAGTTTTTGTTTGTTTCTTCCTTTTTTTTTTTTTTTTTTTTTTTAAGAGATGGTATTTTGCCATGTTGCCCAGGCTGGTCCCGAACTCCTGAGTTCAAACAGTCCTCCCACCTCTGCCTCCCAAAGTGCTGGGATTACAAGTTTGAGCTACTGTGCCCAGCCTCATAATTTCCCAGTTATTTTGAAGTAGTGTCCACATTCTTCTATCAATTACTTTGTCTTCTCTCACCATCCTAAAACGTTGTTTTGCTGAGCATGAATGACTAAAACTTGTCCACCAAAATATTAGCTTAAAAAATAATATCCCCAAATCTAATCTTGTATAAAGATAAATCAGGAGATAATAAAATGTACAGTTCTGTTATACAATACATGATAATTTTACTCAGGATGCATTAACAGAGTTTCTGTAAAATACAAGGACCATTAGTAGGGTGATTCGTAAACCTGCAGAATGCACAGAAACACCTGTAAGTCTTTCCAAAGCATATCAATGGCCTAGATATATCAGTAACATCTGGAAATCACTGTCTTGGTTCATTTAACACTAACATAATGTAAGTAGTATTTACATTATTTACAGTAGTCATACATTTTTAGGAATCTTTCTACTGCGTAAAGGAGGAAGAAAAATATTTACAAATGATCTTTCTTTAGTCTTCTCTTCTAGATCACTTTCCTTCTTCCCTTTGTTAGCCAGACAATATGTAATGCATATTGTCACTGACTGCTTAGGTACTCTAAATTTATGAAACTTTACATGCATCTGTTTAATATTCACAGCCAATCTCAGTTTCCAAGATGGAGAGTAGGGCAGCATGCTTATGCTTAATGGATGCATCCACTAACAAAAGTAGTGATGAAGTCAAATATGAAGTCATAAGAAACAAGATTGTATATTAAAAATCTAAGTAATGCTTACTATTTCTATCAGAGGGTTGTTATCTAAAAGGTCATGCTTTTGAGGAGAGAGAAAAAAAAAAACACTAGACATAATACATCATAGAATTTCCACCAAAAAAAAGGGTAACATTTTTTGCCCAGTTGAAGTGGACAGGCATTACTTGACAGAGGGTCTTGATTCAGTGTGTATATGAAGAAATGGTAGATTTTTAAATCTTTTTTCCTGTGCTTAGTGGGCACAAAATTGTAACAAAAATTACTATGTTTCCTCCTGTTCTTGCTGATGGCTAGCATAAAATTAAACTTTAAAAATCCTAGCTGTCTTTAATACAATGCTTCCCAACCTTTTACATTTCACAGTAAAATAACAATTTAAAGTTGTGGGGCATACCAGGTTAACTGGACAAGATGCTTGAAGCCAGAACTCACTGGCCTGGAAGCTTCTCTGAACACTTTGCAGGCCGAGGCATGGTTGTAACCTGTTTGTAGCACCCAGTCTGAGAAGCTAGGCTTGAATGTAGGCCAGACTAAATATTTGAAAGTTTAAAAACACCATATATATGGTATCATTTTAATTAAACGACTGACATTGTGATTAAACAAAGGAATGAAAATAGCAGTTCCTAAGGGCTCCGATGACTACTGCAGCAATAGAAATAAACAATTCCTGTTACTCACTCTTACACCACATTTTAGCCCACATACATCAAACTCAGTTTTAGGCACCAAGACTCACTCAGGCCCAAGAAGGTAGTAAGGAATTCCTACTCTGCACATTGCAAGTTTAAGTTTACGGGCATCCAGTGCCAAAATGTCACAAGCTAACCTGCAGAAACTGAATGACCATGGAATGCTGAAATTCCAAAAGAAAAACGTTTCTTCACTTCAACCTCTGAATCCAGAAAAGGACTCATCATGTAAACAGACCCCAAATAGGTTGCCAGGCTATTTACAAATTTATTACGAATAAGGTACATAGTCCAATACCAGTACAATTTTATTTTAGAAGTGGAAGGAATGAAGAGCAGTGGCTTAAGATTTCTATATAGGGGGAAATCCAGTGACCATCTAGTTAGAAGTGGGAGCTGGGGAAAGTGTCTTGAAGCTCAGCAAGCAAAGCAAGCATGCTTTCCCCACCCAAACTGCATTTATTTGAAGTGAACATTAGGGAGCTGATGAGGACGAGGAGGGCTATGATAAAACTCTCTGAAGCCACCCCTTCGTGCCATTACTGAGTGTTAGAAAGTACCTAAATTTATTTGGTGCTTTCTCATATTAATACTGTAAATGGTTAACTATTCTCACATTAGGTGGAAAACAAGATTAGGTGTTCTACAAATAGGAAATAGCAACAACTTATGTATTATTTTCTCCCATAAACTAGCAAGAAATTAATTCTTAATGATTTCCAATATAGTTATATTCACCTTTGCAAATGTCCCTGTTCAGCCTACGCTGTGCTTAGATGGCCATGGTCATTGGTTGTATTTGTAAAATAAGAGCTAAGCAGAAAAGAAGATTTTAACATATAATTTGGACTACTGAAGAAGTCTTTGAAGAGATTTCTTCGAAATTTTGGGCAATCATGAAGCAACAGCAGTTTTCCTTAAGTAATCACAAGGAATTTGGGTCCTTAATAAAAATAAAACTTCATTACATGATGTGTATTGACAAATTAAATGAACTTACTTTCTAAAGTACAACAAAGGCTTCAACAATTTTTCTGTTGCTATAAACACTAATTTATTAGGAAACAGGAACTGATAAAAATATCTTAAGTTAACCTGCACATAAAAGAAGGCTCTGCCTCCAATGTGAATGAGACAGCGGCAAACGGGTATGGATTTACTTGAGAAGTGCTGCTACTGTAGGCATAGCAATTGGATTTGCATTTGAACAAAGTCAAGGTTATTAGTAATGAGAACAGAGACAAATCTGAGACTGATCAAAGTGGGTACCTAAATCAGTTCATGATAATGTTCTTTAATACATCTGGTATAAATATATTTGAAACACTCATTCTCTTACCTTCTGCAGTTTAATTTGAAGTTTAGGCTTACAAAGATTTCCCAAAGTTAATCCAATGCATCCCCCCTCTATAATTTCATTTCAACTCTAGAAGTCAGAATGATATAGTGACAAGAACATTCAATAAGGAGCTAGGATTCATGAGTTCCAAAAACCCTGACTGCTATCAACTTAGGTCATTACTTTTAGTAAGTCATTTACTAGGCTTCTAGGTTTGAAGGAGATCACCTATAAATTAAAGACCAGCTCAAAATTTCTGTGATCTTACCTAAAATATGTCATTGTATTATAAATAATCCTGTTACTGTGGATACAAATAACATGTGTGTAAGTTTTGGATGTTTGATTTCTTATGTTACATGGATTTTTCTAGGTGTACCTTTACAGTTTCTGTCCTATGCTAACTATATACTTAGGTCTTTAAGTTAAGGCTATATTTTTTAAGAAATAAACTCAGGGAGCAGAGACCACTTAATTGTCTAGTAAACTTGGTGAACTGTGCACGTGGTAACTAATTGACTGATATTCATATATAAAGTAGGTACTTTATATTGCAGTTTGACAAATTTAGTCTAATTCCATCATCAGAAAGAATGGGGCAGTGGAACTCATTTAATGAGCTTCAATATACCAATATGTTGGCTGGGCATGGTGGCTCATGCCTGTAATCCCAGCATTTTGGAAGGTCGAGGCAGGCGGTCACGAGGTCAGGAGATCGAGACTATCCTGGCCAACTCCGTGAAACCCTGTCTCTACTAAAAATACAAAAATTAGCTGGGCGTGGTGGCACATGCCTGTAATCCCAGCTACTCAGGAGGCTGAGGCAGGAGAATCGCCAGAACCAGGGAGTTGGAGGTTGCAGTGAGCCAAGATGGCACCACTGCACTCCAGCCTGGCGACAGAGCGAGACTCCATCTGAAAACACACACACACATACCCTCAATATGTTGATTCATTTGATGAGAAATGATTAAAGAAGAAATACTGACCAAGACCATAATCAATACTGCAATCAAATGAACATTCTTTTCTTTAGCAGTCTTTAGGCTAATAATTCAATCTTTTGAATTTAAGCTTTCTGGATGTTACCTATTACTTCAAAATTGTTATAATTTCCTTAAATCTAAGCCTCCATGCTTCTATCCTTCCCCTTTTCACCCCTACAAATAGGATTCATAAAACATGTAGTGGGAATACGAGAAGTGGACTCAGGAAGAGCAGAGCTAACTACTTCTAAGTATATTTGGAAAGTTAACACATTTTGTCATGCCACATAACTAATTCCTTTAAAGAAATTGATATTTAAGACATTTAGACAGTATAGGATTATCTGGCCATGCAGATACATGAATGCTGAATTCTGCCACATTCCTAGTTATAAAAAGATTCAGGCTAAATACAATCAAACTATTAATTTGTATTAATCTTTAGCCCATTTTGGCACTTAGACAGTTGGTCATCTCTGATCTAGATGTTTTATAGGTACATAGTTCAGTTCTTCCTACATACAACATCTTATAGCTTCTATATACCTCATTTCAAACAAAACAGAATTTCATAAAAGCCTCATGTAACTTCTGTTTCTACCAATCATTACGTTACATGAAATAGTATTTGATCAATAAGGCAATTCTGTGTCAAATTTTATACACAATTTGCTTCTTACAAAAGAAAGACTAACATCTAGAATTTATTCAAAATGTGTCGTGGTACAAATTCCTTTAATGTCGCCAACCTAATTCATAACACTGTCATGAGAATTACTATTACCTTGTATGAGTTACTCCAGGGATCAACAAATGACAACCTGTGGACTAAATTGAGCCCATCGCCTATTTTGTTTACTGGAACATAGCCAAACATATTCATTTACATACTATCTGAGGCTGCTTTTACCCTACAATGATGGAGTTGAGTAGTTTACAAAAGAGACTATACACGAACAGCAAAGCCTAAATTATTTTATCTGCCCTTTATAGAAAGTTTGCCAATCCTGAGCTACCCTAAGGGTCTCATCATAATGGAACTTACAGCAGTCAAAACACTATTACCAACAGAAAAAATAGAGTGCTTTCATAAATAAAACACGAGGCACATTAATAAATGGTTATTATATTAAAATGCTTCAGGTATTTAAAACCACCCAAAGTTAATGCTAAAATCAAAATGAATATGTTCCTTCCAATAGTCTTACTATGTTTCTTCATAAAACATTTCTGTAAACATAATAAAACTTGTTTTAAGTGTAACTTGTGAATTTATTTGACTTAATCACGTTTAACATTTTTATTTGATCCAAGCAGTCGGGCAGAAATTGCTTTGCAAATCAAAAACTCACACATAAATCAACTACATACATGTTAGTGAATAAAATTTCCTTCAAATGTAGTGAACTAAATTTTTAAACATAGTGCTTTTTTCCCAACTAAATCTGCTTTTCTCAAAACTGTATAACTTTGTAATTACTTTATGTTTGTCCCTATAGTCTCTGCAAAAACAAATTTTGATTACTTTTTTTTTTTTTTTACCTTGAGATCACGGTACACAATCTTTCCGGAATGTAGATAGTCCAAGGCAGAGACAATTTCTGCACCATAGAAACGTGTGCGGTCCTCAGAGAACACCCGCTCTCTCGACAAATGGAAAAACAGCTGCAGGGTAAACAGCAGGGACAGGATTGTAATAATTACTGATTTAGTGGGGGAAATTAACACAAACATAAAACACCTCTCATCACCATATTGTGATGATAGATAGTGTACTCTCAGTGGACACTGAGCACTCTTAGACAGCAGCTGGCTTATCTTTTCCAGGTTTCCAAGGGGAAACTGCGAGCTGTTAAATCAGCGTTTTAATCAATATACCAATCTTGTTTAAGGCATTCTGCTTGCTACCCATTTAACCTTCAGTTACCAGAGGAAAAAGGTATGCATCATCAGATTGCAGTTTCCCCCTCACTATACTGTTGCTTCACTCTTCAAGGATTAGGTATTGAGATATTACTAAAATAAATGAACACAAGCACAGATATATTTTCACTTAATTATTTGATTTCAAAGACAAGACTGTCAATTTGCTGAAACTGATTTACGCGAACTTGTTATATTCTACAATTTTTGATTAATCATGATATCTCTAAAAATATTTTCAAAGTCAAATTATTATTGAAAATAGAAAATAATTTGACATTTTCTATGGTGAGAAACTTTAAGGTTTTATGTTTTTAATTTATTTTAGTAATGCCCAAAATGAACTGAGAAACATCCATTATTCCTATTGCAGTTCTCAATGTATATTCTATTTTCAATAATAATTAGCTACAATGCCAGTCCTTTCTCATATTATCACTAAAACTATAAGCCCATCCATTTCCTAGTCAACCTCTTAAAACATATACCATTCGATAGTCAACAAACATTCACTGGGTGCTTACTGTGACCAAGTACACGGCTCTCCAATAGGCCACTTCTTCATTAAAGAAACTACAAATATTATCTCAATTGGACAACATACATGAAGAAAGAGCAGGTTTCAGGCACTGTGAATTGACTATTAATCTTTGTTGTTGAAACATGCTCAGAACAATGAAAGATTGTTTACAGTGCTGAGTATATTGCCAGGTATCATGGTTATTAATAGATACACAATACATGTCTGTGAAAAAAATGAACCAATCAGCCAATGTACCCTTGACTGCAAGATCAGAAATTTTTCCCTTACATGGATCATTGACTCATAATGTTTCTACAAAATTGGTGAAAATTATGGTTAACTAAGATTTGTTCTGCATACACCAAAGTCATTATTTCAAGTAACATAAAACAGGTTCCCTATAAATTCATTCTTCCCCATTCCCACCCCCACCTTCACTTAACAGCATATTATAAGATAAGCTTTATGCATGACCCATTGGCATAGTAAACAGAGAGAGAGAGAAAATATCACCTATAGCCCCAAAAAGTGTAGCACAACAATAATTATATTAAAACTAAAATATTTTGCAGTCTCTAAACTTTAATGCTTCCTACTATATTACTGTATTTTATCAAATCTCATATGCTACGAATTGGGACTGCATCATCATTTTATAAAACACCAAGGTAAAAAAGGTTGTCAGTTAAAACTATAACACATGATCTATTCTAAAAGGCATTCTGATTACAGAAATGTTAAGTATGTCTTCCAAATAATCAAATACAGTATGTGAAAAATCAAGTCATTTATACAATTACTCAGGGATATTTTAAAAAATTCATTCATTTCATATAGTTAGATATATATTATCAATGTATTACCAGCCTAACAAGGATAGAAAGTAGAAGGAGCCATGTTTTCCAGGTTAAAATAATTTCTGCCATGCAAAATATCACTAACTTTGATGAAAAGATCGTGTGATCTCTATGTGGAGTTGCAGTAGTCTTCTAATGAGATGAAAATAGTGATTAGGTTTCTAAATTTTCTTAAAAGAATGTCAAGCCTACTTACCCACTCATTTAACTTTACAAAAAATATGGATCCTCCCTAAATCGATATAATATATGCAAGATTCTAGATCTTTATTTAGACTATGTATCTTCAATGTGTCTGCCAGCCAATTTCTATAAATATATCAGCTAAAAATTATATTTAAGGGTAAGAATTTACTTCTCAGTCTGCTATCTGATGTGTACCCTTACTACTTTATGGAACTTGTTAAGATAACCAACAACCTCTTAATCGCCAAATCCAATAATCTATTTACAGTCTGCACTGCTTCTTCCAAATCTGAAGCTTAGGACATCACCTACTGCCCTCTTTCTTGAAACACATTTCTGGGCTTTGGTAATATGACTCTCTCCTGATTTGCCTCCTAACTCTCTGGCTAATCCTTCTCAGTTTCTACTTTGGCTCTGAACCAACTTTTCAATTCAGCATTCATTTAGTGAGTATCAATTATTTTAAAGTCACTGCTGGGCACTGGAGAAGAGAAAGAGGGAATACAGTGATAAGACAGAATCTCTTATGATTCCAAGCATTGAGTGCGGTAACATTCTCATGAGTATACACTTAACTCCAAACCCATCAAGTTGTTCCGATTAAATATATACAGCATTTTGTATATCAATCATAACTCAATAAAGTGGTTTAAACAAAAGACAATTCCTGCCATTAAGCAATATGAATGAAGAGGACACAGGTATTGATTTTTAAAAAAAGAGGGTTGTGATAACATTTTATAACTCAGATATTAAAAGTACTTTGAAGGCAAAGAGGGATTAATCTGTGCTGGCATCATGTAAGGAGACTTGATAGATAAGAAAAAGCTTTACCTAAGTTTTGAAGAATAGGTTTTTCATAATGGAAAATTTAAGGGAAAAATCTCCAAAAAAGTGCTACTCAAGTTTTATCCATTTGTATTTCCAACACAGCCTAGGACAGTACCTGCACATAGTAGGTGATTAATAAAAATTTAGAAAGCATTAATACTAAAGAGGAAAAATAGCAATGGCAAGAAAACACATGTAGGGAACACATGTAGCCAAAAAATAATATATAATCAGAGAAATAATAGGACTTCTGGAAAAAAAAGATGAGATCAGATTGGTTAGGATCTTTACTAACATGACAAGAGCATGAATTTTTTTTCTGTAGATAATAAGTATGAAAGAATTTTAGCTTAAAAATTAGCATAATTTGGATCCACATATGCAAATCAATGAATGTAATTCATAATATAAACAGAACTAAACACAAAAACCACGTGATTATCTCAATAGACACAGAAAAGGCCTTCAAAAAAATTCAACATCGCTTCATGTTAAAAATTCTCAGTAAACTAGATATTGAAGGAACATACATCAAAATAATAAGAGCTATTTATGACAAACCCACAGCAAATATCACACTGAATGGGCAAAATCCAGAAGCATTCTCCTTGAAAACCAGCACAAGACAAGGATGCCCTCTCTCACCACTCCTACTCAACATAGTATTGGAAATGCTGGCCAGGGCAATCAGGCAAGAGAAAAAAATAAAGAGCATTCAAATAGGAAGAGAGGAAGTAAAATTGTCTTTGTTTGCAGATGACATGATCCTGTATCTAGAAAATCCCATCCTCTCAGTCCAAAAGCTTAAGTTGATAAGCAAATTCAGCAAAGGCTCAGGATAGAAAATCAATGTGCAAAAGTCATAAGCATTCCTATACAACAACAACAGAGAACCAAATCATTTATGAACTCTCATTCACAACTGCCACAAAGAGAATAAAATACCTAGAAATACAGCTAACAAGGGAAGTGAAGGACCTCTTCAAGGAAAACTACAAACTACGGCTCAAGGAAATAAGAGAGAACACAGACAAATGGGAAAACATTCCAGGCTAATGAATATGAAGAATCAATATTGGGAAAATGGCCATACTGGCCAAAGTAATTTATAGATTCAATGCTATTCACAATAAACTACCATGGAAATTCTTCACAGAATTAGAAAAAAACTATTTTAAAATTCACATGGGACCAAAAAAGAACCCACAGAGCCAAGACAATCCTAAGCAAAAAGAACAAAGCTGGAGCCATCACACTACCTGACTTCAAACTATATTACAAGGCTATAGTAACCAAAACAGCATGGTACTGGTAACAAAAACAGACACATAAACCAATGGAACAGAATAGAGAACTCAGAAATAAGACCAAATATCTACAACTATTTGATTTTTAACAAACCTGACAAAAACAAGCAATAGGGAAGGACATCCTATTGATTGATTGCTTGATTGAATGATTGAGACAGAGTCTCACTCTGTCACCCAGGCTGGAGTGCAGTGGCATGATCTTGGCTCACAGAAACCTCTACCTCACAAGTTCAAGCAATTCTCCTGCCTCAGCCTCCTGAGTAGCTGAGATTACAGGCATGTGCTACCACACTGGGCTAATTTTTATATTTTTAGTAGAGATGGGGTTTCACCATGTTGGCCAGGCTGGTCTCAAACTCCTGACCTCAAGTGATCTGCCCACTTCAGCCTCTCAAAGCGCTGGGATTACAGGCATGAGCCACTGCATCTGGCCAGCACTCCCTATTTAATAAATGGTGTTGGGAGAACTAGCTAGCCATATAAAGAAAACTGAAACTGGACCCCTTCCTTATACCTTATACAAAAATTAACTCAAGATTGATTAAAGACAAATGTAAAACCCCAAACTATAAAAAACCTAGAATAAAATCTAGGCAATACCATTCAGGACATAGGTACGGGCAATGTTTCATGATGACAACATCAAAAGCAATTACAACAAAAGCAATAATTGACAAGTGGGATCTAATTAAAGAGCTTCTGCACAGCAAAAGAAACTACCATCAGAGTGAACAGACAACCTACAGAATGGGAGAAAATTTTTGCAACCTAGCCATCTGACAAAGGTCTAATATCCAGAGTCTACAAGGAACTTAAACAAATTTACAAGAAAAAAAAATCCCCATTCAAAAGTGGGCAAAGGACATGAGCAGACACTTCTCAAAAGAAGACATTTATGTGACCAACAAACACATGAAAAAAAGCTCAACACCACTGATCATTAGAGGATGCAAATCAAAACCACAATGAAATAGCATCTCACACTAGTCAGAATAGTGATTATTAAAAAATCATGAAACAATAGATGCTAGTGGGGCTACAGAGAGATGGGAACACTTTTACAATGCTGGTGGGAATGTAAATGAGTTCAGCCACTGTGGAAGACAAGTGTGGCAATTGCTGTAAGACACAGAACCAGAAATACCCTTTGACCCAGCAATTTCATTACTGGGTATATACCCAAAGGAATACAAATCATTCTACTACAAAGATACGTGCATGCATATGTTCACTGCAGCACTATCACAATAGCAAAGTCATGGAATCAACCCAAGTGCCCATCAATGATAGATGGATAAAGAAAATGTGGTACATATAACCCAAGAAATACTATGCGGCCATAAAAAGGAATGAGCTCATGTCCTCTGCAGGGACATGAATGGAGCTGGAAGCCATTATCCTAAGCAAACTAACGCAGGAACAGAAAACCAAACACCGCTTGTTCTCACTCATAAGTGGGAGCTGAACAATGAGAATACATGGGCACAGGGAGAACACCACCACACATTAGGGCTTGTGGGGCAGAGCCAAGGGAGGGAGATCATCAGGAAAAATGGCTAATGCATGCTGAGCTTAATACTTAAGTGATGGGTTGATAGGTGCAGCAAACCACCATGGCACACATTTACCTATGTAACAAACCTGCACATCCTGCACATGTACCCTGGAACTTAAAAATAAAATAAAATAATTAGCATAATGTTAAAAAGGCAATTCGGGTAGCAATGAGAGAATCAACTAAAAATGCCTGAGACTACAGACTGCTAAACAATTTTTAAAGTACAACAAAAAAGTTACTGATCACCACTGTTATGAAAAGCTGCAGACACAATGAGAGAAAACCGTACCAATCTGCAAGGACATCACTATCTGGTTACAAGAGCCAGATACATAAACTTTTCTACTAAAGTTACGGTAATTATTATAAAGCAGAAAAGACATTCAAAGAATAAGCATGTTTGGAAATATCAGAAGTTATATTTGAGCTTGCAGAGAGCTTCTGAGGGACATCAGCTAAGGTAGTAGTAACAGACATATAAAGAGAATCAATATTCCAGAGGGAACTAGCTTTTACCACTTGGGTCAAGGGAGAAATCAACGATGTTGAGGTTTCTCTATGGCTGACTGAGTAGATGCTGATATAAAGGAAAAGAATGGGAATGGGGACAGAGGAGCAATGGGTTTTATTTTGACATGCTGATATCTAAATAGGCATTTGATAACACAGCTTTGCAAGTTCATGAAGGTAGATATGGGAATCATTCATAGAAAGGATATTGTTAAGACTGAGAAAGCAAAGAATAGTCTAGGAATTCAGTAAAAACTGAAAAGATAAGTGAAGGCAGAATCTTAGGGTACTACTATACATAGGACAGAAAAAAGCAGAACAGGACATTCAGATGGAATACTAAGAGATATAAAAAAAGGAAGCAAGACTACAAGAAGTGAAGGGAAAATAAAGTTTCAGAAAGACAGGAACATTTGCTGTACTTAGGAATTAGGTCATCTGTTACTTTTCAAAGGTAAGTTGTCATATTTAGGTGGGCTGAAAAGAGAATGTGAAGGTAGAAATAATACACCATTCCTTTAAAAAAATGGATGAGGTGAGCCAAGGTATTATTGAACCAGAAGGTTTCTGTGCAACATATTAAATAGTGCCTTCAAGAAAAAGGTTTGTCTAAAGAAATTGACTTATATAACTACAATTCATATGGAATAGGTACACAAATGAAACACCAAAGAAATAATGAAGCAAGGAACAGGTTATTTTAGGTTATAAAAATTTAATACAGAATACTTGAACATGACAATATATGATAAAGTATACAGGAAAATGACAAATAGTGCAACAATAATTAACTCTGAAGAAACATAAAATTTAATTTTCACCTCATAACAAAATAAAATTTATATGTATTAGTCCAATATAAAATTAAAAAACTAGAAAATATGTGTAAGTGGTTATCTAGTCTCAAGATGAAGAAGAATTTTCTAAGCATAAAAGAAATGGAAGAAATAGACTTTTTGCTTTTCCCCAAGAGGGTGGGTTAGAGGCTTTCTGCACGCCTCAGCCACTTGGACATAGCAAGATAGCAGATAAAGATAAACTCTGTGAGCTTTAATTCAAGAAGGAAAACAGGAATCTACTGGAATCATGACGTACACTCCAGATCCCAGAGAGGAGAAGGCCAGCAAACAGCCCCACTGACGGCATCCAGCTGATAAAAGTTAAGTGAAGCCCCAGTGCATGAGAGAGGCAAGGAGCCTCCCTCTGTGACTCACCCTTCCACTGGGGATCCAAGCAACCTAGGCCAAGGGAGAGCACTTTGTTTCTCCCAGTCCTGGAGCTAACTTGGGGAGTGGCCTGGAGTCACTGTGACGGAAAAAGCTGAAGGCATTTTTCCAGACCCGGGAAAAAGAGCAGGACAATGTTTTAAATTTGGGCACATAAAAACTCAGCCATTCCTTGGTGACCCAGCAGTGTGGCTGCACAGGCATGTCAGTCTTGGACCAGAGATCAAAACACCTGCTCTGGAATGGGATAGGGGCTTCACAGTCAAAACTGTGGAAAGTACCCCAACAACAGGGCTAGAATTGTGCTTTCCCCACTTTCAAGCCTGGGGCAGCAGGAGAGCCGCTACAGCTGCAGTTTCTCCTGGGCTGCAAAACTTGCAGTCACGTTCAGCTTGGCAACCTGGAACAGATTCGCATGTGCCATTGCCGGGTAACCCACTCTGTTCTCCTGAGATTGTGGTGCAGTAGGGCCCTTGCTGCTCCATCTCCAAGCACATCTCTGGCATCCAGAGTAACCATTTGCCTAGTTGAGTAGCCTGAGCCACCGCACTCCTCCTGGACATAACGTTATGGTGAAGCAGAGCTCTCTCTGCTCCATACCCAGGAAGATCCCTAGGCATTCAGAGCACCTCCTTGCCTGCTTCTGGAGTTTGAGTCACCCCACCCCTCCTATGCAGAGATCTTAGTGCAGGGGGTCTCTGCTCCATGCTCTAGGCATCTTGAGCACCTACTCTCCTGGACTAGAAGTTTAGACCATCCCCTATCCCTGTGCAGAGAACTTGGGGCTGAGGAGGTTTCCCAGCTACACTACTAGGCACATCTCTGGGCCCTTGGTGGCCACCCACTGCATTCTCCCTCGGCACTAGTGCCTGTGTCTGTCATCAGGGGACCTGTAGGTGGACCTGTCAGGTCTGGCCCTGCCATTCCTGCCCTCTGCCAACCCCCTGACCCTGGGGCTGGGCAGTGAGCTCAGACCATGGTACATTCCATGAATTGGCCATAGCCTGTGGCAACAAAGAGCTTCTGCCAGTAAACAAGTATCAAGGTATACACTAAGCCATGTTGGCTGCAGTTAGCTCTTACCTCTAAGTGCCATCTACAGGCTTGCAGGTCAAATGCCACAGCCCAAAATAAAATTGGCCAAAAGCAGCACAGAGGACTAAAGAAACAAAGTCAAAGACCCTACCCAGAATTCTCTATAGTCACATTCTGAAGGGAGGGGAAGAAAAGGGAAAGGAGAAAAAAATATATAATAACATTATAGGGAAAGAAAAAGAAAGAAAAAATCCTACCTGCATGAAAATAATTACAGAAGTTACAAGTGTTAGGGTCTCCAGATAAGAAAAAAGCAGCGTAAGAATTCCAGCACTATGAAAAATCTGAATGTAGTGATACCACCAAAGGATCACACTAGCTCTACAGAAATGGTCCCTAACCAAAATGGAAACTCAGAAATGACAGATAAAGAATTCAAAGTAGGGATTGCAGTAAGCCCAATGAGATCCAAGACAAAGTTGAAAATCAACAAAAAAAAACTTCTAAAGTAATCCAGGAAATGAAGGAAGAAATAAGCATCTTTAAGAGAAATCAATCAGACTTTCTGGAATTGAAAAAATTCACATAAGGAATTTCAAAATACAACTGAAAGCTTTAACAATAGACCGGCCCAAGCAGAAGAAAGACTTGCAGAGCCTGAAGACCAGTATTTTAAACTAATCCAGTCAGACAAAAATAAAGAAAAAATAATTTTAAAAAATGAATAAAGTCTTCAAGAAATATGGAATTACAGAAAGTGATAAAACCTACAAATTACTGGTATTCCTGAGAGAGAAGAAGAAAAAGTTAACAATGTGGAAAATATATTTGAGGAAATAACTCAAGAAAACTTTGGTAATCTTGTTAGGGAGACAGATATCCAGATACAAGAAATCCAGAGTACAACTGTGAGATACTATGCAAAATAAACATCACTAAGGATATTATCACCAGACTGTCCAAGGTCAACACTAAAGAAAAAAAAATCTTAAAGGCAGCTAGAGAAAAAGGGCAGATCAGAGGGAATGTCATCAGGCCAACCGTCAACTTCTCAGCAGAAACCTTACCAGCCAGGAGAGACTGGGGACCTATTTTTAGCTTTCTCAAAAAAAAAAAAAAAAAAAAAAAAGAAATTCCAACCAAGAATTTCATAACCTGCCAAACCAAGCTTCATAAGTGAATAAGAAGTAAAATCTTTTCCAGACAAACAAGCACAAAGGAATTTGTTACAACTAGACCAGCCTTATGAGAGATCCTTAAGGGAATTCTAAATATGGAAATGAAAGAAAAATAAATGCTACCACAAAAATGCATGTAAGTACATAGCCCACAGACCCTATAAAGCAAAAACACACACTAGAAAGTGTAAGGCAACCAGCTAATAACTTCATGATAGGATCAAAACATCACATAACAGTATTAGCTTTGAATGTAAATGGTCTAAACACCTCACTTAAAAGGCACAGAGTGGCATGTTGGATAAAAAAACAAGACTCATCCATCTGGCTTGTCTTCAAGAGACCCATCTTATATATAATGACACCTATAGGCTCAAAGTAAAGGTTTGGAGAAAGAGCTACCACACTAATGGAAAACAAAAAAGAGCAGGAATCACTATTCTTTCATCTGATAAAACAGACTTCAAACTAACAGCAGTTAAAAAAAAAAAAGACAAAGAAGAGTATTACATAATGATAAAGGGCTCAATTCAACAAGAAGACTTAACTATCACATATATATCTTCCATATATATATATATCTCTCTCTCTCTTCCAGTATGTATATATATTCCATATATATATCTCTCTCTTCCATGTATATGTGTGTGTATATATATATATATATATATATATACACACACACACACACACATATATCTTCCATATATATATCTCACATATATGTATGCACCCAATATTGGAGAACCCAGAGTCATAAAACAAGTACTACTAGATCTACAAAAAGACATAGACAGCAACACAATAATAGTGGGGGACTTCAACACCCTACTAGCATGAGTGAGATCATTCAGGCAGAAAAGTCACACATTCTGGACTTAAACTCAACACTTGACCAACTGAACCTGAAAAACATCTACAGAATACTCTACCCATCAGCCACAGAACATACATTCTTCTCAGGTGCACATGGAACAATACTCCAAGACTGACCACATGCTCGTCCTTAAAGTAAGTCTCAAAAAAAAAAAAAAAAGAAAAAAAAAAGAAAAAGAAAAAGAAAAACAAACAAAAAAACCCTGAAATCATACTAACCATAATCTTGGACCACAGTGGAATAAAAACAGAAATCAATACCAAGAAGGTATCTCAAAACCATACAGTTACATGAAAATTAAACAACTTGCTCCTGAATGTCTTCTGGGTAAACAACAAAATCAAGGCAGAAATAAAAATAGTATTTGAAATAAATGAAAATAGGTACACAACACACCAAAATTCCAGGGACGCAGCAAAAGCAGTGTTAAGAGGAAAGTTGAAAGCACTAAATGCCTACCTCAAAACATTAGAAAGATCTCAAATTAATACTCTAACATCACATCTAGAGGAACCAGGAAAACAAGAACAAACTAACCCATAAGCTAGCAGAAGAAAAAAAAATAACTAAAATCAGAGCAGAATGGAACGAAATTAAGACCTAAAAATCCACATAATGAAATGATGAAGCCAAAAGTTGGTTCTTTGAAAGGATAAAGAAGATTGCTAGACTGCTAGTGAGATTAACAAAGGAAAAGAGAGAAGATATAAATAACCACAATTAGAAATGACAAAGATTACATTACAACTTATCCCACAGGAATACGAAAGGTCCTCAGAGGCTATGTGTCTATACATACAAACAAGAAAATCTAGAGGAAATGGATAAATTCCTGGAAACACACAATTTACCAAGACTGAATGAGGAACAAATTGACACACTGTACAGACTAATATCGAGTTCCAAAACTGAGTCAGTAATAAAAAAAACCTACCAACCAAAAAAGTCCCAAACAAGACGGATTCACAGTTGAATTCTATGTAAGGTACAAGGAAGAGGTGGTATAAATTCTACTGAAACTATTCCAAAAAAATGATTTTACAAAGCCAGTAACATCCTGATACCAAAACCTGGCAAAGACACAATGAAGAAAGAAAATCACAGGACTATATCCCTGATGAACACAGGTGCAAAAATCCTCAACAAAATACTAGCAAACTGAATTGAAAAACACATCAAAAAGTTAATTCACCATGATCAAGTAGGCATCATTCCTGGGATGCAAGGGTGGTTCAACATATACAAATCAATAAATGTGATTCACCACATAAACCAAATTAGCTTTCAATGAAATCCAACATCACTTTATGATAAAAACCCTCAACAAACTAGGCATCAAAGGAACATACCTGAAAATAATAAGCACCATCTATGACAAACCCACAGCCAACATCATACTGAACAGGCAAAAACTGGAAGCATTCCCCTTGAGAACTGGAACAAGATATGGATGCCCCCTCTCACCACTCCTAGTCAATATATTAGTGGAGAGTGCTAGCCAGAGAAAATCAGGTAAAAGAAAGAAATAAAAAGGCATCCTAATAGGCAAAGAAAAAGTATAACTATCTCTCTTTACTGATAATGATTCGATACTCAGGAAACCCTAAGGGCTCCACCAAAAGGCTATTAGAACTGATAAATGATTTTTGCAAGGTTTCAGGAGAGAAAATCAATGTACAAAAATCAGTAGCATTTCTATATACTGATAACATCCAAGCTGAGAGCCAAATCATTTACAATAGCCACACACACAAAAAAATCCAGGAATACATCTAACCAAGAAGGTAAAAGATCATTACAAGGAGAACTACAAGACACCGTTAAAAGAAATCATACATGACACAAACAAATGAAAAAACGTTCCATGCTCAGGGACTGGAAGAATCAATATCAGTAAAATAGCCATATTTCCCTGCCCAAAGCAATCTACAGATTCAAGGCTATACCTACCAAACTACCAACATCATTTTTCACAGAACTGGAAAAAAAAAACTACAAAATTAACAAGAAACCAAAAAAGAGCCAGAATAGCCAAAGCAATCCTAATCAAAAAGAAGAAAGCTAGAGGTATCAAATTACCTGCCTTCGAACCATACTATAAAGCTACAGCAACCAAAACAGCATGGTACTGTAAAAAAACAGACACAAAGGCCAATGGAACATAATAGAGAGCCCAGAAATAAAGCCAGCCACCTACAATAATCTAATCTTTGGCAAGGCTGACAAAAATAAGCAATGGGGAAAGGACTCCTTATTCAATATATGGTGCTTCGACAGCTGGTGAGCCATACGCAGAGGAATGAAACTGGACCCCTATCTTTTACCATATACAAAAATTAACTCAATATTGGTTAAAGATTTAAACGTAAAACCTCAAACTATAAGAATCCTAGAAGAAAATCTAAGAAACACCATTCTTGACATTGGCACTGGAAAAAATTATATGACTAAGTCCTCGATAGCAATTGAACAAAACCAAAAATCGACAAGTGAGACCTAATTACACTAAAGAGAATCTGTACAGCAAAAGAAACTATCAACAGGGTAAACCTACAGAATGGGATAAAATATTCATAAACTATCTGACAAAGGTCTAATATCCAAAGTGTATAAGAAAGTTAAACAATTGAACAAGCTAAACACAAGTAACCCAATAAAAAATGAGCAAATGACATGAACAGACATTTCTCAAAAGAAGACATACAAGCAGCCACCAAATATGAAAAATGCTGCACATCACTAATCTTCAGGGAAATGTAAATCAAAACCACAATGAGATATCATCTCATACCAGTCAGAATGGCTGCCATTAAAATGTCAAACAATAATCGGTCTAATAGTACAATAACATGTTGACAAGGCTGCAGAGAAAAGGGGATGCTTGTAACACTGTTGGTGGGAATGTACATTAATTCAGCCACTATGGAAACCAATTCTGAGATTTTTCAAAGAACTTAAAATAAAGCTACCATTTGACCCAGCAATCACATTACTGAGTGTGTACCCAAAAGAAAACAAATTGTTCTATAAAGTAGACACAGGCACTTGCATGTTCATTGCAGAACTATTCACAACAGCAAAGACATGGATAGACCGGATTAAGAAAATGTGGTGTATATATATATATGCCATGGAATACTATGCAGTCGTAAAAAGAACAAAATCCGGTCCTTTGCAGCAACATGGATGCAGCTGGAGGCCATTATCCGGAGTGAATTAACACAGGAACAGAAAACCAAATACTGCTTGCTCTTGCTTATAAGTAGGAGCTAATCAATTGGTACTCATGGACATAAATATGGTAACTATAGAAACTGGAAACTACTAGAGGAGGGGAGGGGTTAAAAAGGGTGGAAAAATTAACTGTTGGGTACCATGCTCAGTACCTGATCATGGGATCATTTGTATGCCAAACCTCAGCATCATGGCCATATACCCAGGTAACAAACCTGCACAAGTACCTTCTTGAATTTAAAATAAAAGTTGAAAAAAATAAAAAAGAAATGGAATAATGAAGGGAAAATCCAGTAGATTTAGCCATATAAAGTAGCAAAGATAGAAATAAAATGGAGTATTTATAACATGTGACAAAGCTCATATTCTTAATATAAAAAAAAATTAAAAGACTAAAACACAAAAAATTGGGTAAAGGTACAATTAACCTGAGAGGGCTACAAATTATTAATGTATATGAACATAGGCCACCTTGTAATAATCAATGTAACAGAGACAAAACTTAAAAAAGGGCAATTTTAAATTTATGAAAAATTAGTATTGTCAGTGAAAGTGAGGTGAGATAAGCATCTTTATACACTGGTGGCTAGTATGTAAACAGACAGTCTTTGCAAAACAATCTGGCAATAGATAGCAAGATAATTTTTAAAGTTCGGTAGTTGCTCTCCTAGAAATTTCCTTAAAAAATAAAAATATACGCTGGGTACAGTGGCTCACGCCTGTAATCCTAGCACTTTGGGAGGCCGAGACTGGCAGATTGCCTGAGCTCAAGAATTCGAAACCAGCCCTGGCAACACAGCGAAACCCCGTCCCTACCAAAAGCACACAAAAATAGCTGGGCATGGTGGCGGGCGCTGTAATCCCAGCTACTCAGGAGGCTGAGGCACAAGAATTGGTTGAACCCGGGAGGTGGAGCTTGCAGTAAGCCGAGACTGCACCACTGCACTCCAGCCCAGGTGACAGGGCAAGACTCCGTCTCAAAAATACATACATAAATACATACATACATACATAAAAATATAGAAGCCATCTTCTACACAAGGATATTTTCAGAAGTATATACATTGAGAAAAATGTGAAAACGGCCTTCCAACCAGGTTGAAGAAAAATTAGATTTTTACCTCACAATATAATACGATAAATTTCAGATTTTTTAGTATTTTAAATTTCAAATTTTTTATATTTTTTAGTTAACTACTAGTTAAGAACCAGAATATATGAGTGAAAAGTCAACAGGACTGAACTTACCCAACTGCCCTAAACATTTGATGGGCATATCTAAAACAGAAGATGAAAACTGAGCAAATATATAAAAGAACTCTCATTAGATACTGGACAAGAGGAAGTGCATGACGATGGTACCTGTTACAACAGAAACAAATGAGGTGAGCCATATGATTATCCACCTTTTGTCTGGGGGCACTTTCTGACACATTATTGAGGAAGAAAAATCACAAACCTAATTCAAGGGTTTCACTGCTGAAAAGATAAACATCAGATTTTGAGGATGATGAGGTAGATGGCATTTGCAGGACAGAACACTAATGAGGAGGAAGCTATACAGAATCTGCACAGTTGAGTCTGCAGTTGAATACTAAGCAATGCATGTGTAGGGTTTAACTTTATGAGGACAAGCAGAGAAGGAAAGGAAAGCTGTAAATATGTAGTAGCTCTTAGAGCTCACGCAGAGCTGAGAGACATTCAATTTTTAGGCAGTCAGAGAAGAGTCATTACTGAACTCTCAGGCATTCAGTAGATATCTCAAGAGTCAGAGTGAAACCTGAACTTACACGAACAAAGCTAACATCAATACTGAAATATCAATCATATTTGTAAATACTGCCTTCCAGAATAAAAACTAACACTCTGACAGAAGAAAACAAAATCCAGTAACTCACGTAAAACTCAAATTATCTAATCAATGGAAGAGAATCAAAAGCCAAAAATAAATCCATGCCTATATGGTCAACAAACATTTGACAAGGGTACTGAAAATACATAAGGGAGAAAGAACAATCTCTTCAATAAATAGTGCTAGGAAAACTGGATATACACATGCAAAAGAATGTAATGGAGTCTTATCTTTCATCATATCAAAAAACCAACTCAAAATGGATTAAAAACTTAAACGTAAGACCTGAAACTATAAAACTCCTAGAAGAAAACATACCAAAAAAACCTCCTTGATATTGGTCTTGGCAAGTATTTCTTGGATATGACACCAAAAGCACAAGCAACAAAGGCAGAGATAAATAGGTGGGACTACTATTTATCTCTTTGCTTATGTGAAGCAAAGAAAACAATCAACAGAGTCAAAAACCTATGGAATGGGAGAAAATACTTGCAAATAATATATCTGATAAGAGGTCAATATCCCAAATATATACAAAACTCGGCTGGGCACAGTGGCTCACGCCTGCAATCCCAGCACTTTGAGAGGCTGAGGAGGATGGATCATGAGGTCAGGAATTTGAGACCAGCCTGACCAACATGGTGAAACCCCGTCTCTACTAAAAATACAAAAATCAGCCAGGCGTGGTGGCAGGCACCTGTAATCCCAGCTACTCGGAAAGCTGAGGCAGGAGAATCGCTTGAACCCGGGAGGCAGAGGTTGCAGTGAGCCGAGATTGTGCCACTGCACTCCAACCTAGGCAACACGAGCAAAACTCCATCTCAAAAAAAAAAAAAAAAAAGAAAAAAAAAGAAAAAAGAAAAAAAATCTGATCAAAAAATAGGGAAAGGACCTGAATATACTTTTCAAAGAAAATATACACGTGGCCAGCAGATACATGAAAAGGTGCTCAAGATAGATCACTAGTCAACAGAGAAATGCAAATCAAAACCACAATGAGATATTACCACACACCTGTTAGGATGGCTATTATAAAAAAGATGAGATAGCAAGTGCTGGTGAGGATGTGGAGAAAAGGGAACCCTTGTGCACTGTTGGTGGGAATGTAAATTGGTATAGCCATTATGGAAAACAGTATGGAGGCTCCATAAGAAACGAAAAATAGAACTATCACATAATCCTGCAATCTCACTTCTAGGTATATATATCTATCTGAAGGAAATGACATCAATATTTCAAATAGATATCTGTACTCCCACATACACTGTAGCATTATTCACTGTAATTAAGGCAGGACTGCAGGTATCTCTATTCCAAGAATGGAAACACTCTATATATATAGATTTCTTGGATATGAAGAAGCAACATCTATCAGCAGATAAATGGATAATGAAAATGTGGTATATTTATACAATGGAATATTATTCAGCCATAAAAAGAAGGAAGTCCTACCATTTGTGACAACATGGATGAACCTCAAGGGCATTATGTTAAGTAAAATAAGTCAGGGATGACAAATACTGTATGATCCACTTATATGGGGAATCTAAAAGAATCAAACTCACAGAAACAGAAAGTAGAATGATGGTTGCCAGGAGCTGGGGTAGGGAGGTAAGTAAAATGGGGAGATACTTGTCAAATGGTACAAACTTCCAGTTACGGGTAAGTTCTGGGGATTTAATGTACAGCATCATGACTATAGTTAATGATACTGTACTGTATATTTAAAATTTGCTAAGAGAGTAGGTCTTAGGTATTCTCATCACACACAGACAAAGGTAACTGATAGGTGACAGACGTATTCACTAATTCAATTGTGGCAATCCTTTCACAATACATACACGTATCAAATCACTACACTGTATACCTAAAATTTATACAATTTTATTTGTTCATTATACCTCAATAAAGCCAAGAAGAAATAAATTAAAAAAAGAAACCCCCAAGAACAAATGATTTAGCATCCAATCAACGTTTACTAAACATGACAAGATGCAAGAAAATATGACCTATAACCAAGAGAAAAATCAGTCATTAGAAACATACCTAAAAATCAGAGATGATGGAATTAATAGATACTGACTTCAAAATAGTACATGAACATAAAGAAGAGATAAAGGGAAATAGAAACAAATGAGACTGTAGAGATAAAACAAACAACATCTAAAATAAAAAATTCACTAGATGGAATTAACAGATTCGACACTGAAAGAGAAAGGACTTCTGAATGTGAAATCATAGCTAAAGAATCGATATAAATTACAACTGGGAAAAAAAAGCCTCAGTGACCTGTTGGACAGTATCAATGAATCTAACACATGTGTAATATAAATTACTGAAAGGAGAAAGACATTTGAAAAAGAATGGCTGAAATTTTCTAAAATTGGATAAATAACTAAATGCACAGATCTACAGTTGCCCAGGAGAAAAGGGAAATGAATAAGGTGATAGTTATGATTACTCCAGCTGGATACCTAGAAACAATGTCCAGGCTGTAACACAGGGAGAGGAAAACAAAACAAAACAAAAAGAGCCTACGAGGATCCTTGATTTAATGATACTGAGTTCAGAGACTGGGGAGACCAAGGTATCTAGAATTCATGAGACAGGTAACTAGACAGAAGACAGTACCAAAGACAGAGCTCGAGAGATCTACAATGGATTGCCTCGGAGTCTCATTGAGCAGCACCTGTATGTGGGGAAAAGCTACGGAAAGAGCCACTGAAAAGGACCAGATGAAACAATCACCAGGCTAACAGAAAGGCAAAAATATTTCATGTTCTCACATGGCAAAATAGAAAGATCTCCTAAAAACTATGGCATCTAACAGAGTTTTAAAAAAATACTGCCTCAATAGTGCAGCCGTGTTAGTGCTAGAGCAAAGGATATTCCAGACCAGTCTTACTAAGCTTAAAAGCAAGCACTGATAGGATCATACTGTTTATACATAAGAATAATGCCTAAATATATTTTTTAATCCCCAAACTTCCAGCATCTGACAATGTAAAATTCAATGTCTGGCATCCAATAAAAAATTAACGGACATAAAAAGAAACAGGAAAATAATAACCTATAATCAGGAGACTAATCAATGAATAGAAACAGACTGAGAAAATGACACATAAGATATAATTACACGAATACCATAATAAATTAGCCGTTGAAAATATAAAAAATAGCTGTTGAAAATATAAAAGTTCAAAAGGTAGAGGGAAGCACATAAGATGAAGATGAAAAAAAAAGTCCCAAATCAAACTTCAAGAGATGAAAATGTCTGAAATAAAAAATATACTAGATGTTACTAGACACTGGAGAAGAAAGTATTAGTAAACTTAAAGACACAGGGGGAAAAACCCAAAATTAAAGACAGAGAAAAGACTGAAAAAAAGAAGAGAACATTAGTAAACAGTGGGATAACATCAAGATGTCTAACATGTAAATAAGTAGATTCTCAGGATGGAACAAGAGAAATGAGTAACAAAATACTTACAGAACAATATTCAAAAATTTTCCAAATTGAATGAAAACTATATGCTTATAGATCCACAAGGCTTAAAACACCCTAAGCCTGGCCAGGCACGGTAGCTCACACGTGTAATCCCAGCACTTTGGGAGGCCAAGCTGGGCGGATCACGAGGTCAGGAGATCGAGACCATCCTGGCTAACATGGTGAAACCCCGTCGCTACTAAAAATACAAAAAATTAGCTGGGCTTGGTGGCAGGAGCCTGTAGTCCCAGCTACTCTGGAGGCTGAGGCAGGAGAATGGCGTGAACCCAGGAGGCGGAGCTTGCAGTGAGCCCAGATCACGTCACTGCACTCCAGCCTGGGCGACAGAGCGAGACTCCGTCTCAAAAAAAAAAAAGACAAAAAACAAACAAACAAACAAAAAACCCTAAGCCAAAGAACTGTGAAGGAAACCATACCAAGGCACATCATAATCAATAGCTGAAAGGAAGTAATAAACAGAAAAGCTTAACAGCGACCACAGAAAAAAAGACACATGAAGCACAGAGGAACAAAGCAGACTTCTTGACAGAAACTGTATAAGCCAGAAGAAAGTACAGTGACATTTTTATAGTAATGAAATGTAAAAATGGCAAATTAGAATTTCATACATAGCTAAATATCTTTCCAAAAATGAGAGGAAAATAAAGCCATTATCAGACATGTAGGTTAGAGAACTCACCACCAGAGACACTGAACTAGAAATTGTTCAAGAAAATGTTTCAGAATGAAGGAAAATGACACCACATGGAAAACAGGATCTACCCACAGGACAGAAAATATTGGAAATAGTAACTGTGTCAGGGAACAGAAATTAATTTTTCTTCTGTTTTAAATTTCCTTAAAAGATAATCACTGGTTTAAAACAAAAATAATAATGCATAGTGGCATTTATAACACATACAAATGTAAAATGTATTGTAACAACAGTACAAAGGCTTGAAGGAGGAAATAAAAGTATACCAGTGAAAGGATCTTAGGATGTATGTGAAATGGTATAATCTAAGCGGAACACAAAATGGGAAAAAAAGTTAAATACGAGTTTATAGTTAACCGTCATCCCACAATAAAAACTGGAGCTCCCAAAAGTTACTGATGAATTCCACCACCCCTTTAAAGAAGAAATAATTACAATTTTATAGAAACACTCCCAGAAAATACGAGAACAGTTGTTAACACGTTGCATGAGGCCAGCATTGCCACAATACAAAACCAGACAGAACTATTACATGAAAAGATGAGTACAGATCAATATCCCTCAAAATCATAGATGTAAAAACTTAACAAAACTTCTCTAATTCAATTCCAACAACATATAAGGATGATAATACATTATGACTAAAAGATGGTTAATCTCAAGAATGAAGACTGGCTTAACATTTGAATGTCAATGTAATTTATCAAATGTACAAACTAAAAAGAAAGCCGGGCACAGTGTCTGTAATCCCAGCACTTTGGGAGGCCTAGGTGCGTGGATCACTTGAGGGTAAGAGTTCGAGAGCAATCTAGCTAACATAGTGAAACCCCAACTCTAATAAAAATACAAAAATTAGCTGGGTGCAGTGGTGGGCACCTGTAGTCCCAGCTGCTTGGGAGGCTGAGGCAGGAGAATCACTTAAACCTGGGAATAAACCTGGAAGCTGCAGTGAGCTGAGATCACGCCACTGCACTTCTGCCTAGGCGACAGAGTGAGACTCCGTGTCTAAATAAACAACCATATGATCACCTCAATGGAGGCACAAAAACCTTTAAAGAAAAGTCAATGTCCACTGATGGTAAAATATTCTAGGAATAGGAGAGAACTTAACCTAATAAAAGGTATATATGAAAAACTTATGACTAACATCACACTTAATAATAAAAGACTTAATCTTTTCCGAGACAGGGAACAAAAACACAATGTTCGCTACTTTTGTTCAACACTGCACTAGCAGTCACAGGCAGTGAAAGATGCATAGACAGATAGACAATTAAACAGACAAATATATACATGCCATACAAACAAGAATGGAAGTAAAACTGCTATTATTTACAAAGAGCAAGACTATCTACATAGACATTTCAAAGAAATTTAGAAAAAGGGTTTCTAGAACTAATAAGTGAGCTTAGGAAGGCCATGGAATACAAGGTTAATATATAAAAACCAACTATATTCTTATATGCTAACAGCAAACAATTGTAAATGGGAAAAAATTGGAATAGGTAAAGAAAAATTGAAAAATTATACAAACCTATACACTAAAACTACAGTGTTTCAATAGACATTAGAGAAATCCATAAGCAAACAGAGTGTGTGTCCATGGATTAGAAGACTCAATATTCTTAAATAGATTTATGGATTAAATGCAATCATAATCAAAGTTACAGCAGACTTTTTTGTAAAAATTGACATGATAATAAATTTATATGAAAATGCAGAGGACACAGAAGAGTCAAAACAATTCTGAAAAAAGAACAAAGTTTTTCTCTATTTCAAAATATACTCCCAAAGCAACAATTATCAAGTTAGCGTGGTACTGATGTAAAGAGAAACTCAAAGATCAATTAAACAGAATAAGACAGTGCAGAAACAGACCCATATGTGTGACAAACTGATTTTCAACAGAGGTACCCAAGTCACACAATCAGAGACAGGGTCTTGCTGTGTTGTCCAGTCTGCAATGCAGTGGTATGAACATGGATCACTGCAGCATCAACCTCTTGGGCTCAAGCAATGCTCCCAATTCTGCCTTGCACCACCAGTCCAGGCTAATTTTTTAAATTTTTTATTTTGTAGAGACAGGGTCCTGCTGTGTTGCCCAGGCTGGTCTCGAACTCCTGGACATAAGTGGTCTTCCTGCCTCAGCCTCCCAAAGTGCTGGGATTACAGGTATAAGCCCCCATGTCTGACTAAAGGACAGCCCTTTCAATGAAAGATAGTGAAAGAACAAGATGTCTGTAGGGGGAAAAAAATGAACCTCAACTCTTAGCTCACAGCATACATAAAAATTAAAATGGATCACAGACCTATACATGTAATAGGTACAACTTAAAAAGTTTTAGAAGAAAATACAGTCATGCACTGCTTAATGATGGGGATACATTCTGAGAAATGTGCAATTAGACAATTTCATCATTGTGACAACATCCTAGGGTTTACTTACATAAACCTAAATGGCATAGCCTACTACTTCTAGGTACAGACCTGTACAGCATGTTACCCTACTGAATACTCTAGGCAGGTGTAACACAATGATATTTGCACATCTAAACACATCTAGAAAAGTACAGTAAAAATATGATATAGAAGATTTAAAAACGATATACCTGTCTATTGCATTTATAATACCATGAATGAAACTTGTAGGACTGGAAGCTGCTTTGAGTGAGTGAGTGGCGAGTGAATATGAAGGCCTAGGTGATTACTGTAGACTATGAACACTGTATAATGTATAAAATAATTAAAATTATTTTTTTCTTCAGTAATGAGTTAACCTTTGCTTTCTATAACTTTTTCACTTTATACACTTTAAAATTTTTAAAAACGCCTTGACTCTTTTATAACAGTTTAAAATATGAACACATTGTACAGCTATACAAAAATATTGTTTCTTTACATCTTTATAAATATTTTTCTATTTTTTTTAACGTCTTTAACTTTTGGTTAAAAATGAAAACACAGCATATACGTTAGCCT